>NC_000017.11:5945656-6097171 GCF_000001405.40 Homo sapiens
TGTAATCCCAGCACTTTGGGAGGCCGAGGCGGGTGGATCACAAGGTCAAGAGATCGAGACCATCCTGGCTAACATGGTGAAACGCCATCCCTACTAAAAACACAAAAAATTAGCCAAGCCCGGTGGCACATGCCTGTAGTCCCAGCTACTCAGGAGGCTGAGGCAGGAGAATGGCTTGAACGCGGGAGGGGGAGGTTGCAGTGAGCCGAGATCGCACCACTGCACTCCAGCCTGGGTGACAAAGTGAGACTCCATCTTGAAAAAAAACAAAAAGAAATCACTATTTGAAACTTCACTTCCTTATATCAAAACATATGGGTTCATGTCCTTATTTTGGGGGTGCTAAAAACAAAGATAACTTAGGCATGTGAGAGTTATGTGCTGGCTTTCTACACATTTTCCCCTCACTGCTATTCAAACTATTGTGGGTCTCAGTGGGTCCATATTTCCATAGCACAGCCAGGTCTCTGCAGGTCAGGAAACATGCAGGCCTTAGCCTCCCAAATAGATGATTTATTCCATAATTTGCATAACAGGGATAATATTCTTTATTATTAAGTATTGTATTTTTGTCCTTAGTAATTGATACGGTTTGGCTATGTCCCCACCCAAATCTCATTTTGAATTCCCACATGTTATGAGAGGGACCCAGTGGGAGGTAATTGAATCATGGGGGCAAGCATGGAAATGCTGTTCCCATGATAGTGAATAAGTCTCACAAGATCTGATGGTTTTAAAAAGAGGAGTTCCCCTGCACAAGCTGTCTCTCTTTGTCTGCTGCCATCCGTGTAAGACATGACTTGCTCCTCCTTGCCTTCCACCATGATTGTGAGGCTACCCCAGCCACATGAAACTGTAAATCCAGTTAAACCTCTTTCTTTGGTAAATTACTCAGTCTCGGGTAAGTCTTTATCAGCAGCATGAAAACGAACTAATACAGTAATTCCTAGTTTGAGTTGTCTCAGAGTTTGTGTATTAAGAGAGCCAGGCCTGGTGAGTCAGCTCATAGAGTTTCTTTGGTAGTATGGAAGGGATTCCTCTTCTTCAATCAGGCTACTGCCTAGGAAGAAGAGGATTTGATGGAAGGGAAGCCTTTGCCCATGAGAAAAGAAGCTGAAACTCATCCCTTCCATCCTGGAGAAGGGTGGAGAGGAGAAGGATGGAGGGGGAGCAAGGAGATCAAATGCCAGAGTCTTTGTGCCCTTTCAGGCACATGCACCTAACCTGGCAATGCTGAAGAAAGATTCATAGAGATCAGAGAGCTTAAAAAGATGAAGTGGGGGGACTATTCCCCTGGGCACAGTCAGAGGGGTGATCTAGTTCTGAAGGCATAGCCCAGTCTCTGGCTCAGAGATAGGCCACTGTAGACTAGGAAGGAGGGTACAGCTTTGGCTGTGAGTGAGCCCTGATAGAAGAGCCTGGGGAGGTGCCCTGGGCCCCCATGGCCTGTGAGTGCTGTGTGTGCTGTGCAGGGAGCCAGAAGCTCAGGAGATACAGAGGACACTTCAATGCATGGCATGAGGATGAAGCCCCAGAGTGTGCATGGCTTGAACCCTGGACTCCAAGGAAGTGTCAACATGACCCCCTGTCCCTCCAGTGGATGAGACAGTGTGGCTGGCCACTCTGTGACAGAGATCAAGACCAGAAGCCCCCTTATTTTCTCAGCCACAAGGGCACAAGAGCCCCCAGACACTCAGGCACCATCTCAGAGAGAAACAGAGGTAGAGGGAAGAAATCTGAGAGACAAAGATTGTATCTGAAAGGGACTGAGTTATTCAGAAGAGACCATCAAGCTGTCAGAAACCAAGATACTATTGATTGGAAAGTTTAAGGTTTGTCCATTCCGTTCCCCCTACACCTTCTGCCCTTTGTTAGCTGGAGGGATGGAGGATGGTGAGGAAGATTAGATCAGTTGTAGAGAAAGAAATAAAGCTGCATTTTTCATGGCAATTCCCTTTGAATATTCCCCTTTAAAAGCGTACTCCATGGTGCAAATGCCAGATGCTAAGTTATGTCAATCCAGAGATCATATTATTAGGATTTAAGTAATGTTAGTGTTTCTCAGTCATTCAGAAGGGCTGGAGCCAAGACATCAGGTGTGTCCACATTCCTGTCCTAGCACTCAGAGGTATGCTCCCAAGAGGTCACAAGAAGATAAAACCACTAGATAAAACCCCAAATAGATGCTCTTCATATCTACTTATGGGATATTGGTTGTTACGGTGGTTGCCAAGAGATTAAACTGGAATGAAACTGTAAGAGAACTTACCTACAAAACTCTTTCAAAATTTATTCCTTTTGAAATGCTGGTCTTGAATCATCATGTTACTTCCTTCCATGATAGCAGTGGTCACTCTGAAGTCAACACAGGCACAGAGACCTCTGTTTTTACAACATTTTCTCAGAATTCCAGGCAACCATAGTCAGCCTGGAGGCCAATGGGGGACCCTGGTAATGATGACACCTTTTTTTTTTTGAGAAGGAGTTTCGCTCTTGTTGCCCAAGCTGGAGTACAATGGTGTGATCTTGGCTCACTGCAACTTCTGCCTCGTAGGTTCAAGCGATTCTCCTGCCTCAGCCTCCTGAGTAGCTGGGATTACAGGTGCCCATCATCATGCCTGGGTATTTTTTTTGTATTTTTGGTGGAGATGGGGTTTCACCATGTTGGCCAGCTGGTCTCAAACTCTACACCTCAGGTGATCCACCTGCCTCAGCCTCCCAAAGTACTGGGATTACAGGTGTGAGCCACCGCGCCTGGCCACGACGACACTTTTGATTTCCAGTTCATACTTCCAAAGCTGCATTCGTTCTTTTTGCATCAAACTAGGTGCCAGTGGTTAGCTGCACTTGACAATTATTACTGTGGTTATAAATGGACAGGTGTTTTGACCATCAGCAATACCTGGCAGGTCAGGGGGATACTTTATTAGTATTTTGTCTCACATAATCCTTACATCAACTCTGGGATATGCGTTCCACTATCCTTATTTCACAGTTTAGAAAACTGAAGCTTAAACTTATTTAATTTATGTGTGATGGAGGCTGGATTTGAACCCAGATGTATTAGTTATCTGTTGCCCAAAACTTAGCAGCTTAAGACAATAAACATGTTATCCTGTAGTTTCTGTGGGCCAGGAACTCAGGAATGGTGTAGGTTGGTTGTGGCTGAGGGTCTTTCATGAGGTTTCAATCAAGAGGTTGGTTGGGGCTGCAGTTATCCGAAGACTTGACTGGGGCTATAGGATCTGCTTCCCAGATGGCTCACTCACATGGCTATTGACTGTAAGCCTTAGTTCCCCACTGGCTGTTGGAAGGAGGGCTTCAGTTCCTTATCATAGGGTTGCTTGAGTGTCCTTGCGACATGGGAGCTGGCTTCCTTTAGAGTGAGTAATATAAGAGAGATAGCAAAGAAGAAGCTATTATGTCACTTATGACTTTGTTTGGAAAGTTATACACCAGCAGTTCTGCCATATTGTATTCATTCATTCATTCATTCATAGGTATCCAGCCGACATTCAAGGGGAAGGGATTTAGGCTGCTTTTTGAAGGGAGAAGTGTTGAAAAAATTGATGGACCTATTTTAAAAACAGCACACAGATTGTCTGACTCCAGAATCTGCATTCTTTTCAAAGATGCTATACTTTTACTCACAGGTAGACATGCAAACTGTCCACTGCCCTTTCCTATACACATCCTACTCTATACCCCACCCCTCAAGAAGTCTTTCTTCCCCTCCTGGGGTTGATGAGTCTCTGTGAAGACTGAGTCCCATTGCCTTATCCTCATTAGCATCACCCTTTACTGCTCTGGGTGCTAATGCCATGCCTTCGATTTTACCAAAGATCACAGAAGTGTGAAATATACTTCTGCATGTATTGTCAAACTGTCATAAAACCCTTAGCTTTATTTGTACTACAGTGATCTAGTGAGCTGATCCTACTTTTTACATCTATAGCAGAAACGGTACAGGAGCTCACTCTGATCTCTCTGACCTTATGATGTTCCAAATAAAGGTACAGAGTCTACAAGAAACCCCTGAAATATTTCCTGAATCCTTCCACCCACACTTCCATCCTTCATTCTGCCCACTGCTTCCAGAGTTCTTTCTAAAATCCAGATATAATCAAGTCACATTTTGCCCCAAAGCTTTTAATAACTCCCAATTTCTGTTAAGATGATTTCAACTCTGGCTTTGAGATCCTTCACCACCAGGCCCCTGCGTGCCTCTCCCTTCTCATCTCCTCATCACTCTCCAGGCAAACTGGACTATTTGCTATTCTGGGAATGTGTCTTCTTCTTTTAAGCCTCAGCCCCTTTGCATGTTCTGTTCATTCTTTCTGGAATGAGCTTCTCCCCTTTGAACTGTTGTCAAATTCCTTCAAAGTCCAGTTCAAACACTGCCTTCTCATGAAGTTCTTACATACCACTCACACCTTTCTCTGCATGTTAGCCAAGAAAATATATGCAGATGAAGGTGTCTGCTTGAATCATGGCAGCTACCTGCTGGCTTAACTGGGTTAACACTAATGAAAATCACGGGACAGCTAAATTTAATTTTTGACACCTGATAAATGCCAAACATCAATGGATTTTTCATTAACATACTGAAGAGCAGTGTCTTCAAGTCACTGTTATGAAGACACTTTCCTAATTTCTTTGAGGTGGTTAATCTTCTGTGCAGACATCAGAAAGGATTGCATTTCCTGACTCTTTTGGCTCTTGTCATGTCAGTTGTGTAAAATGATTTGAAAAGAGGTGATTACTATGGACCATGACATCCATTTCACCTTTATCAGGAAATACATAAGTGAGATAGTGCAGGTGTTGTGGGCAGGGGTAGGTCACTCTCCTCCCCTGCACCCTTCTCTTCTGAGCAGATCCAGAAGGAAGTGTTTGTTTTGGATGTTGGACCCTGTTCCAGTTCCATGATCATATTTATGTTGCTTCTGAGTTTCCAAAACGATGTATGTTGAATTTGTCAGGTCATATTTTTGCAGCAATAAAGGGTGGTCTTGTTGAAGTCAACTCAATCCCAATGGGCCTTATATTTGTGACATTCCAGAGTGAGGATAACATATGGAAAGAAGCCCACAAAGTAATAAGGAACAAAGAATCCTGAATATGAAAAACCACCCTGATGCTGATTCTGGTTGCCTCTCCTTGCCACGGTCCTTCCTGGACTGGAGTTCAGCCAGCAGATGCATATTATATTGGATGCTTCCTCTAAAGAGACAGGAGGAGTAAGTGGGAATACGGGAGGCACTCAGAAAGTGAGTATTCACACACTGAAAGAAAAGCAATCAAGGCATCGGCAGCCCTGTTCAGAACAAGCCAAGCGGGGACGGCGCAAACCCGAGGGTGGCTTGGGGTTGTGTTAACAGATGGTGGAGAGAAGGCAGAATGCTTCACCTCCCATTTGGCTCCTGTCACCCGACTGAGAAGACTAATCTTCCCCTGTAAAAGGATAGCACAATCACTTTATTCAGAGGAAATTGCAGAATGCGATGTGAGAGGCATTTGGACAAGAGCCTAATCTCTGGGTGTTTTGCTGAAGGATAGGTAATTTAAAGTTCTGCAGGCAGCAAAGGGTTAATCCAGTTTTTGTCCAAGAGCAAGGAGTTAGAGTACAGAGTGTTTATTGCTGTTACCATGTTCATTCATTTGTTCATTCGTTCTACAAACTTTTTTTTTTTTTTTTTTTTTTGTCTATACGATCCCAGGGTGGTGTACCGGGGAGGCTGACCTGGGTTCAAATATCTGCTGCAATGTATTAATATCTGTAGACAAGTCACAACTCCTCTCTGTTATTGTCAAAGACCTTTGGATTTCAAGGAACTGAGACTCAGTCAAGCTCACTCAGGAAGAGGAGTGAGTTGGTCGAGAAAACAGAATCCACAATAGGTATTTCATTCTTATTTTTTTTTTCTGTCTTTGCTACTTGAATCAGAACAGTAGGTATTTCAAACAGAGGAGATTTAATGTAGGAAGTTGGTTACATGCATATGGAAAAATTGAAAAAAGCAAAAAGGGAGGTAGCCTGGAGATCAGTAACTGCAGGAAGCAGTGACCTCCCTACTGCTGGAGAAACAAATGGGACGAAGTGGCATTGCCAGAATCTAGAAGCTTGGAGAAGGGTTGCTGAGAGGGTAGATTTACATCCACTAGCTCCACTGCTTCCCATCAATAGTCTTGGTCTTTCAGTTACATTTGTGAGCAGAGGTAATTTCAGATAATATAACAAATAGAGTGATGGGATATAGGGTTATGAGGGTTGGGGTAAGGCCAGGGGTCGGGAGGTTTTTGTGGCAGAGCTTGGAGAGGACTGCTGAATTTGGATCATTTATGAGTTGACAATAAACTCAAGAAGGGCAAGAGCAGAGCAGGATGAGAATTACATGACCTTTACAATAATCCAAGTGTACAGTTTTTATATTGCCACATAATAAATCACCACACATTTAGCGGCATAAAACAACCTATGTTTATGATCTCACGGTGTCCATGGCTCAGGAGTCTGGATGTGGCCCAGCTGGGACCTATGCTTCAGGTCTCACAATGCTTTGGTCAAGGTGTCAGCTTGACCAAGGTGGTCAAGGTGTCAGACTCTCATCTGAGTCTGGGGATCTCTATCAGCCACAGATCCCACCCACACTCACATGGAGGGGGAGTGTGCACACTGGGGGCAGGAATCTCAGAAGCCATATTAGAATTCTGCCTACCACACCAGGCAAGAGATGATGCTGGCTTGAACTCAAAGTGTAGGCATGGAGATGGGAGAAGTGGTTGCATTCAAAATATAATTTTAAAGTCCTGGCTCAGAGGACTGCCTTTGGAGAGGGAGGGGACTCCAACTCTAATAATCTATGTGGGGTGGAGGGTACTTTCAATGAAGTGGGGTACTCCTGGCATGGGAGCAACCTGGTTGTATTGCTTGGGGGCATGAGTGCTTCAGATAAGAGGACCCTAGATGGGGATGGGGCTCCAAATAATGCATAAACACACCTGCAGGTGAAAGTTAGCTCTAATTAACTGCCAGGCTCAGATGGCGGCAAGCCACCCAGCTCATAAAAAGCTGTTTTACTCCTTACTCCTCCCGCCACCACAATTTTCACTCTAGCAGGGTTTGAAACAGCGGCTAGCAAGTAGGGGGAGGAAGAGAGGAGAGCAGAGAGAGAGTTGGAGATGACTATGTCCCGTCCTCAAAGACAGGGGCTCCAGACACAAGTCTAGGTATGAAGGAAAGGGAGAAGTCTTTGAGTAGAGATTGAAGCACTAATTAATAGATTGGGCTGGACACATTCATATGATTGAATCTAATAGTGTTTTATGATGGAAAATGACCATAGGACTGTCCCTTGCCTGAGAGTACACAGAGAAGTTTAGTATGAGTTTCTATCCAGGGATGGGTGAGGATGACCACTACTGAATACATGGTTTTTTTTTTTTTGAGACAAAGTTTCACTCTTGTTGCCCAGGCTGGAGTACAACAGTGTGATCTTGGCTCACTGCAACCTCCACCTCCTGGGTTCAAGTGATTCTCCTGCCTCAGCCTCCCAAGTAGCTGGGATTACAGGCATGCGCCTCCACGCTTGGCTAATTTTTGTATTTTTTAGTAAAGACGGGGTTTCACTATGTTGGCCAGGTTGGTCTCGAACTCCTGACCTCAGGTGATCTGCCTGCCTTGACCTCTCAAAGGGCTGGGATTACAGGCATGAGTTACCTCGCCCAATCTGAATATATTTTAAAGGTGCATGGTTATCAAAAAATTAAGTTGCATCTTGATCACATCTTACATACTGTGCTTGTTCAATGGATTGGTTATGCAAAAGTCTGGGTGAAGATTTTTCTTGGCAGAGTGACCATCAAATGCAAGGGCATTGGGTGGGCATGATGTTGATATCTCTGAGAAACCTCACTAGAGTAAGAGGAGGGTAAAAGGGGTGAAGCTGGCTGGGTGCAGTGGCTCCTGCCTGTAATCCCAGCACTTTGGGAGGCCAAGGTGGCTGGATCACCTGAGGTCAGGAGTTCGAGACCAGCCTGACCAATAAGAGGAAACCACCCTGTCTCTACTAAAAATAGAAAAAATTAGCTGGGTGTGGTGGCATGTGCCTCTAATCTCAGTTGCTTGGGAGGCCGAGACAGGAGAATTTCTTGAACCCTGGAGGCAGAGGTTGCAGTGAGCTGAGATTGCGCCACTGCACTCCAGCCTGGGGAACAAAGAGCGAAATTTCGTCGCAAAAAAAAAAAAGGGGGGTGAAGCCAAAGGGGTGACAGGGGCTGGCAGATCATGGTGAAGAGTGTGGATTTTCTTCTAATTGTACTGAGATGTCATTGGAAGGTTTTAAGCAGGGGAGTGACAAGGTCTAATTTATATACCAGGTGCTGTGCTGCCGGCTGGAATTCTTTCCCCACTTTTATGGTTGTCCTTCAACCTGCTGGGATTGTCCATGGAGTTTTATAGCCCCAACTACCCCACCACCTCACAAACCCCTTCTAGTTACCCAAGCTCAATAATAGACCAGTTAATGAGAGTAAGCCTGATCTCCCCAGCTGGTGGGAATCATATGAGGATAGGTGCATAAGTTAGAAGCAGCTGCACAAGGGTGAGACAGGAGGAATCTAGGTCTTCTTGATGTGATGTGACATCAATTTTTCTCCATGCTGAGTGATGCCTAGCAGATCCAATCAAATCCTCTCTTTGGGGAGGCTTAATGTGGGCTGAACAATGACTAGGCAGCTTGCTTGACCAGAGATCCTGAGGTCACCAGATACACATCCCTGGCTTGGGACAACTGGGACCCCATGCACCCTGGGCTACTTTCCTGCAAAAGCACAGTGTTTCTTGAGTGACCCACATCATACCTGAGGGCTCTCTTCTCTGAGGCTGGGGGTGGATTGCAGAAGGATTGGGCCCAACTTCTCCATTGTTATGCATTTCTCTTTGTGGGTGTGGTGGAGTATCTTATTTTCTCAAGGTCCCATTGGGATCCAAATTCCCATTCCAATTGGGAACCCAGTCTCATTGCCATCTCACCTCCTGTTCCTGTCCTCTTTCTTCTGCTTAACACTGATAAAACATGAAGTTCAGTGCCTTTTCCAGAATTTCTTCACTCCTCAAAAAGCACCTCCACATGCAAGGTATGGTGAATGTAGCGTATTTTGTTGAGAGCATGGGGTTGGCAGATGAAGCCTACAGTATCATCACTTGGCTTCATGCATATCTCAACTTCTGCTTTCTCAAGTCTCCTTGCGTGGGCACTACCCCTTCTCTAAATCCAGTTCTCCTCTCCCACTTTATCATGCACAAAATGTAACTCTCTACCTTCTACTTAGCTTCCGTTTATTATCTAAGGCTCATTAGTGTCTCTACTATCACAGACTCTAGTGGAAGAGAACAGCATGGAGCTTTATTATTCCATTATCTTTTAGAAGTTACAAGTGGCTGAATTTAGTCTCGTTTTAAACTATATTACCTCCTTTCATTATAATAACTTCCTATTTCTTTCTTTTTTTTTGAGACAGAGTCTCACTCTGTTGCCCAGGCTGGAGTGCAGTGGTGTGATCTTGGCTCACTGCAACCTCCGCCTCTTGGGTTCAGGTGATTCTCCTGCCTCAGCCTCCTGAGTAGCTGGGATTATAGGCATGCACCACCATGCCTGGCTAACTTTTTGTATTTTTAGTAGAGACAGGGTCTCACCATGTTGGCCAGCCTGGTCTCGAACTCCTGACCTCAGGTGATCTGCCCACCTCGGCCTCCCAAAGTGCTGGGATTACAGGCGTGAGCCACCATGACCGGCCCTCTATTTCTAAAAGTAATAGCTCTTCCTGGCCAACTTAAGAAGGAACACAACGTGTAAGGATACTGAGGTTCAGATAATGTGACAGGTTGTATTTTCTGAAGATGGCCACAAAGATATCTCCCATTTCACATGCTCTTCTAGACCTTGCCACTCCCCCAGCAAGAGGCAGGATCTATGTCTCCTCCCATTGAAGCTGGGTGGCCCTTGGTGACAGCCTCAACCAACAGAGGATGGCAGAGTGGTGCTATGTGATTTTAGAGGCTAGGTCATAAAGATGCATGCACTCCCTGCTTGTTCTCTTGGTATGTTCATTCGTGGAACTTGCTTACCATGAGGAACCCCAAGCAGGGCATGCAAAGACCTGCAGGACAAGCAACTGAGGCTCCTGGCCCAAAGCCCTGCTGAACTCCCAGCCATCCATCAGCCAGCAACCACTTGCCAGCCATGCCTGTGAACCATTTGAAATAAATTCCCATCCTTCATCTATAAGGGGCAGAGATGAGCCATCCCTGCTGAGCCCTGTCCCGATTGCAGATTCATGAACTAAACTGTTACTGTTTTAAGCCCTTTCAAGTAGTTTGAAAAACAGCAATGGATAACTGATACAAATAAGTAAGGTAACTTGTGTAAGATCATAAAGTGTAATTTCCAGAGCTGGGACTCAAACCAATGTCTTTCTGGCCCCAAGTCTGTGCTCTTACCACTGTGCCTAATAATAAAATGTTCAGCCCAGTGCCTGGAACAAAGTAAATGATCAATAAAATATTTCCTCCCATCTCTCCTTTTTCTCCTAGGGTCTCATAGTAGAACATGTTTCTCTGACCCAGTCAGTCTTGCCAGAGGTGGCCACATTCCAGCAGAGATGCTTCCTCTTGCAAAACCCACCTAATCTTAGGTGAGGCTGCATCTTCTTGAGTGTAGGGAGAAGATTAGCCCAAGTCAAACAGTGCTGCTTCTTTACCTCAGCATTATTGAACTAGAAAAGCATTTGCCAACATGCACTTTGTCTCTGGCTGCCCCTGAGGCTCGAGAAGGAAGCCCTGCCCTCTGAAGGTGCATCCAGGCATTCACATCAGCGGTCAGAGGAGAGCTGAATTCTAGGCCCTGCTGGTGGGGTTGGGCAATGAGGATCCCCCCAAGGGGGCTCAAGTTGCTTTTTAGCCTACGTGGGAGTTTCAGACAAAGGATTTTCTTCCTCCTCTTCCTATAGGGTTCACTGAGATAGAATGACATTTAATAACAGTGGAATAGGAGTTAGGATCTGAAACTATGCTCATGGCAGGCGTGACCTACTGGGGCTGTTCAGAGCATCTTTCTTCTGAGCGCTCACTCTCCAGACCTTGCTCTGTTGATCTGAATTTTGCTTTCAGGGGCTTGGTGAGGACGATGTGCCAAGTGAATGAATTGGATGGACCCAGGAGGCGGGCACTCTCTCCCACTCCAACTGGCCACCTCATCCCCAGCAGTCACAAACCAACCCTTAGCAGGTCACCTCCCTAAACTTCTGCATATGCCTTTAGCCTGGGCACTGTGCATGTGAGGCATTAACGAATTCATTTATTCATTTGCTTATCTATCTGCATGTCCACCCATCTATTTATCCATCTATTTGCTGAGGACAATATAGCATCGTGGTTTAGGTTATGGGCTTGGGATCTGTATTGTCTGGGTTCTGATCCTGCGTTTGCCACCTTTGAGCTAGTTATTTTCACCTTTCTATGCCTCAGATTCTCCTCTATGAAGTGGGGGAATACAGTAATAACACCTGCCTTGTAGAGCTTTTATGAGAATTAAATACATTATTATGTAAAGCACTTGCCCTGGCACCTGGTTAAGTACTCCGCACACGTTACAGTGTAGTTATTGTCACTGCTGTTGGAGTGTGTTCAGGTCTGTGTGAGTGTTGGGGGAAGCAGAGCAGATGGTCTTCATAAGTTTTAAGCAAAGGTGCTAAGAAAACACAAAGTTTACTTTTCTACTTCCAGGTGGCTTAAATTCCCAAGGAAAACAAGATACTGCCTTCTTGGCTGTTTTTGTTTTTGTTGTTGTTTTTGTTTTTTTGTTTGTTTGTTTTTTGGGATAGGGTCTTACTCTTTCACCCAGGCTGCGGTGCAGTGGTGTGATCTCAGCTCACTGCAGCCTCCACCTCCTGGGTTCAAGCGATTCTCCTGCCTCAGCCTCCCAAGTAGCTGGGATTACAGGTGCACACCACCACACTCAGCTAATTTTTGTATTATTATTATTATTTTTTAGCAGAGATGAGGCTTTGCCATGTTGGCCAGATTGGTCTCAAACTCCCGACTTCAGGTGGTCCTCCCGCCTCAGCCTCCCAAAATGCTGGGATTACAGGTGTAAGCCACCGCACCTGGCCGAGGCTGTTTTAAGATGGGTTAATGATGTGTCACGTGCCAGAGCCATGTGCTCATAAACATTATATCATTCCTTTAATCCCCCAAATTTCTTTGAGGTAAGCTAGGAATATTCTCATTTCAGAGAGGAAGAGAGAGGTGTTACTTTTCCAAAGTTTCCTGGCTGAAAGTGAGAATCACACCCGGATCTGTCTGGTTTGCAGGAAGGGCCGCATCCACCCCACCCTGAGCTCCTCCACAGTGCGATCCTGGGACTGCCTGAGAGGCAGCACAGCCAGCTCACATTCCGGGACACCTCACAGGTGCCGAACTCCACCAGTTTGAAAATGGTTCCGAAGCCACTGTGAAGCCACTTGGTCTCCAGGGTACCAGGGCACTTTCCAACCAGCACCTTCCTCCTGTGAATCCAAGCGTCAGGGCTAAGGAAAACTGCGGGTTTGATTAGCTTTCAAGAACATACTTTATATCATTTCCTCTCCTCATTTGAACTATAAAAAGGAGCTTTCTAGTTTGAATAGCAACTTCAACTTTCTGCCTTATTCTGTAAGAAAGGAAAGCATTCAGTCAGAAATGGGGGTGATTTCATCAGCACTTTTCAATTTCAAATGAGTTTGCGAAAGCTGGTGGCTTCCTTTGGTGGTCAGGCTATGTTTGGTGTCCAGGAGCTGTAAAAGTTGGGTCAGACTGGCTCACAGGGGACAAACACGTGTGGGGGGTGGGGAATGGCACAAGGAGAGTTTTCTGCTTCTGGAGGGGAGAGATTGATGGGCAGAAATGAGCAGAGCCTCTGGGCTATGGGCCAGTTTCTCTTTTTTTTTTTTTGAGACGGAGTCTCGCTCTGTCACGCAGGCTGGAGTGCACTGGTGTGATTTTGGCTTACTCCAGCCTCCACCTCCCACGTTCAAGTGATTCTCCTGCCTCAGCCTCCTGAGTAGCTGGGGTTACAGGCACCTGCCACCATGCCTGGCTAATTTTTGTATTTTTAGTAGAGACAGGGTTTCACCATATTGACCAGGCTGGTCTTGAACTCCTGACCTCAGGTGATTCACCTGCCTCGGCCTCCCAAAGTGCTAGGATTACAGGCATGAGCCACTGCACCTGGCCTAGGCCAGTTTCTGAATCTTCTGCCCTTCATGGGTGAGTCGTGTTGAGGTGGCCTCTTAACCTGGCACTAGGTTGGGCAGATGCACCTCATCAAAGATGAGTTTGGGAAGCTGAATATCAGCTTTAGAATGCAGGTCTTTTCTGTTTCTTCTGCCACAGTGAAGTTGTCCCAGTTGAGGTCAGAGAGAGAGAGAAAGGTCACTGATGTGGTCAGATTTCTTAGAGCAGAGCCAAGTTTTTTTTTTTTTTTTTTCAGACAGAGTTTCGCTCTTGTTGCCCAGGCTAGAGTGCAATGCTGTGATCTTGGCTCGCTACAACCTCTGCCTCCTGAGTTCAAGCAATTCTCCTGCCTCAGCCTCCCGAGTAGCTGGGATTATAGGCATGCACCACCACACCTGGCTAATTTTGTATTTTTATTAGAGACGGGGTTTCTCCATGTTGGCCAGGCTGGTTTTGAACTCCTGACCTCAGGTGATCCACCCACCTTGGCCTCCCAAAGTGTTGGGATTACAGGCGTGAGCCACCACGCCCGGCCCGAGCAGAGCCAAGTTTAAAGATCCAAACCAGGGCTTAGCAAATTCTGTAGCAGGTCAGAGAGTAAATATTTTTGGCTTTGCAGGTCAGACCACATCTGTGGCAACTGCTCAGCTCTGCCATTGTAGCATGAAAGCGGCTGTAGATAATATGTAAATGAATGAGCATGGCTGTGTTACAGTAAATTTTTATTGGATACTTTATAGATGCTGAAATTTGAATTTCATGTAATTTTCACATCATGAAATATCACTCATCTTTTAATTGTTTTCCTCCAACCATTTAGAAATGTACAAACCATCTTAATATGTCATACGAACGTAGGTGGTGGGTTGGATTTTATTCACAGCTGGCAGTTTTCAAGATCCCTGCTCTAAATGTCAAAGGGGCTGCTGGTACCCTGGGGTGGGAGGTGGCCACAGAGGGTACCAGAGCAGCTTTCACAGGGGATGGGGCAGGAGGGGCTCAGGGTAGCAGTGGAGGGTGGCTTCTATACAGCCTAGCTGTGGGCATTTTCTTCTTAGTGGTGGGAGAGAGAAAGAGAGAGAGACTTTTCTGAAATCAGACAGACGGTTCTTCTCAAAAACCATTTGCCGATGTCCCCTTGGGTGTCAGGAAATCTCTACATACTGGGAACGGGGGAATTTTTTTTTTTTAAAGTGCAATTTCTTTTCTTGCCAAAAGGCAACTCAATTGTCAGGTGTTGGTTGCCCCTCCTGTTACATGATCCTCTAAAAGATGTGAAGGACTTTATCCAGTCTATCATTGATGGGCATTTGGGTTGGTTCCAAGTCTTTGCTATGGTAAATAGTGCTGCAATAAACATACATGTAGATGTGTATGTGTCTTTATAGTAGAATGATTTATAATCCTTTGGGTATATACGCAGTAATGGGATTGCTGTATCAAATAGTATTTCTGGCTCTAGATCCTTGGCACATATACACCATGAAATACTATGCAGCCATAAAAATAATGAGTTGATGTACTTTGCAGGGACATGGATGAAGCTGGAAGCCATCATTCTCAGCAAACTAACCCAGGAACAGAAAACCAAACACCGCATGTTCTCACTCATAAGTGGGAGTTGAACAATGAGAACTGAGAACACATGGACACAGGGAAGGAACATTATACACCGGGAGCTGTCAGGTGGTGGGGAGCTAGGGGAGGGAGAGTGTTAGGACAAATACCTAATGCATGCGGGGCTTAAAACCTAGATAATGTGTTGACAGGTGCAGCACACCACCATGGCACATGTATACCTTTGTACCAAACCTGCATGTTCTGCACGTGTGTCCCAGAACTTAAAGTTAAAAAAAAAAATCGTGAAGGACTAATTGGCTGGAACTCCCACCACATGCCGGGAGAAACCCCAGTGCCCATCTCCAAATCTCTGGGGACTCTTGAAGGGATTACATGTCTCCTACGTGCTTTTGGTTCTGCTTTCTGCCTTGACTCACTTACATCCTATGCCACATCAGTTCGCAGTGGCAACAGAGATTCCTTCCCCCACTTCTCCAGAATGCAGATCACCAGGAAGGGTTCAGTGTGGTAGGATTTGCTGAAAATTTGTGGTTAAAAATCCTTTGGCCCTTCTATCCACCAGGATTTCCTTCTGATCATCATCCTCCGCAGTACCCTTCCTCACCCAAATCCTTCTTTCTGGAAGTTATTATGTTCTACAGGGTAGCAGACAGGAACACCACACCCTGTAATAAAAAGTCAGTGTGGTCATTCCGTGAGAGGTGGCCAGCTCTGGTGGGGGCCATGGGAGAGCACCACGGATTCTGCAAAGTGGTGAGTGGACTGGGAAGGTTTCCCAAAGGAGGGGAAGCGAGAAGGCTGTTGACTTGTGAGCAGGAAGCGGGAGAGGCATTGGAGGCAGAGGGGAAAATGAGCAAACGCTGGTAGGACCCGGAGGGAGGAGTCTATCCTTATGAATAGATTTTCACAGGTCTATTTATTAAACCCATCTTTTCTTTTCTTTCCCAAAAGAAAAGCTGCAATAGGTTTCTAATCCTTGCTTCCTTGGGCCATTGAAGTATTTTGAATCAATATCCTTTAGATATTAATTGTCTTGAAATGCCAGAAACAATGAAATACCACATTTTTATCACAATATTAAATTATACATATTAAAATATTTTACTTCTGTAGATTTGTAAATGAATGGTAAACATTTTCTGAATGAAGCACTAGAGTCGAACATCCATATGTGTTTCTGTAGTTAACACTTGCAAAAATAACTCTTTAGATAGACTCCCAAAAAGCAATGTCAAAAAACAGTATTCCTATGGTGGACGTTTGTGGTAACCTTCCCAACATCCACTTTTTTCTTTCCCCAACATCCACTTTTTTCTTTCTAGAAGCTGAATTTCTGTTTGGGGGTCCATGTGGTTCAGGGGAAGTTGACTGCTCTGCCAGCTATGATGGGGGCCCATGACTGGTCTACGCTTATCAATGGATTCCATGCTGCTGGTCACAGTTCAGGGGTGAGTGCCTGACCGGAGCCAGCCCAATCAGAGCAAATAGTACTCCTCTTGGGGATGTTGGGACAATGACATCCTCTCTTCTTCTGAATGGGCCACTGTGTGGACGAGAGACCCACCAGATTGCTGCAGCCCCAAGGGAAGCCAGCTTGAGGATGAAACTCAGCCCAGAACATGGCAGAGAAAACAGGACCAGAGTCCTGAGCCACCATGAACTACTGGATCAAACTGTGCCTGAAGCCTGCATACCTCTGGGATTTTCATTTTGAAGGGATGATAAATTATCTTTAGTGTTTAACCAAGATGGAATTAGATTCCCATTCTGAACTTAGATGACTCTCAAGACTGGACTAGATTTATATCCATCGTTTTGTGGAGACTTGTGAGTTCCTGAACTCAGTTTGGGAACTCAGCTGATGGTGCCTACAGTATCCTAATCTTGGATTAATTACATCAGTAACAATCTAGATCCATTAAAATATATTTAGTGTTTGCATAAAAAGAGAGATTGGCAGTGCAGAAGAGAATCAAAGGCGTGGGGAAGGTTTTGCATCTGCTGTGTTGAGAATTCAGAAGAAAAGCTCCAACCAGCAGCAGCTGTGGTGTTTTTAGTGGAATTTGGAATTAGAACCAGGCAATTTTCCTGCTGGGCTGTGCCAGGCAAGGGTTGACAGGGAGGGTGTTGGAGCTGGCTTCGTAAACCTCAACTGGGTTAACGAGGGACATGGGTTTCAGGAAACCGACTCTTCAAGGGCCTGAAGAAAGTAGCAAATCCTTGTTTTGTTTGTTTGTTTGTTTGTTTCATGATTCTAAAAGTAGTATGTGAGCATTTTGGAAATTTCAGAAAACAGAAAAGTATAACAAAGAAAGTAGCAAACATTAGAATTCCTCAATTCAGGTATTCTTTAATTTTTATCTATACACATTCAATCATTCTGGATATACAATTTTATATCAAAGGTATCTTGCCCTCCAAAATAATGTCTTTGTATTCACATTCATTGGCCGCATAGCATTTTACCATAGGGATTTTCTATACATAACCATTTTTCTTTTGTTGAATCTTTAAGTAATGTGTCAGCCCCTCCCTCCCTCCCTTCCTTCCTTCTTCCTTCCTTCCTTTGTTTCATTCACAGATTTCAGTTTTTAGAGCAGCTTTAGGTTCACAGCAAAACTGAGAGGAAGGTATAGATATTTCCCATATATGTGCTATCCCCACGTATGCATAATGCTTCCCTATTATCAACACTGGTCACCAGAGTGCTAGATTTGTTACAACTGATGAACCTATATTGACACATCGTTATCATCTAAAGTCCATAGTTAGCATTCGGGTCCACTCTTGGTTTGGACAAATTTGTTTTGACACATATCCACCATTATAGTATCACACAGAGTAAGTAGTCTTACTGCCCTAAAAATCCTCTATGTTCAGCCTATTCATTCCTCCATCCTCCCTAAAACCTGGCAACTGCTAATCTTTTTACTATTTCCATAGCTTTGCTTTTTTCAGAATGTCATATAGTCAGAATCATACAGTGTGAAGCCTTTTTCAGATTGGCTTCTTTCACTTAGTTATATATATTTAAGTTTCCTCCTATCTTTTCATGGCTTGATAGCTAATCGCTTTTTAGTGCTGAATATTTCTTTGTCTAAATATACTACCACGGTTTAGTCAGTCACCTACTAAAGAGCATCTTGGTTGCTTCCAAGTTTTGGCAATTACGAATAAAGCTACTACAAACATTCATGTGCAGGGTTTTTTGTGGACATACGTTTTCAGTTCCTTTGAGCGAATACCAAGGAGTATGATTGCTAGATCATATGGTAGAGTATATTCAGTTTTTAAAGAAACCACCAAGCTCTTTTCCAAAGTAGCTGTGCCATTTTGCATTGAATGAGAGTTCCTGTTGTTCCACATCCTCATCAGCATTTGGTGTTGTCAGTGTTCTGGGATTTGTGTAATGGTATCTAATGGGTGTGTAATGGTATCTAATAGGCATGTAATGGTATCTAATTGTTGTTTCAATTTGCGTTTCCCTTATGACATATGATGTGGAGCATCTTTTCATATGCTTATTTTTCATCTGTATATCTTCTTTTGTGATGTATCTGTTAAGATCTTTGACCCGTTTTTAAATCAGATTGTTTTCTTATAGTTGAATTTTAAGAGTTCTTACATATTTTCGATAACAGTCCTTTATCAGATATATCTTTGGTAAATATTTTATCTCAGTCTGTGGCTTTTCCTTCTCTTAGAGTTTCTTTCACACAGCAAAAATGTTCAAGTTTAATGAAATCCAGCTTATTAATTCTTCCTTTCATGGTTTCTGCCTTGGATATATCTAAAAATGTCATCACCAAACCCAAGATCATCTAGATTTTTCCTATGGTATTTTCTAAGAATGTTTTAGTTTTGTGTTTTATGTTTAGATCTATGATTTATTTTGAGATAATTTTCATAGAAGATGTAAGGTCTGTAGCTAGATTCATTTTTTTTTTTTTTGCATGTGGATGTTCAGTTGTTTCTGCACCATTTGTTGGAAAGACTCTTTCCTCCATTGTACTGCCTTTGCCTCTTTGTCAAAGATGAGTTGGCTATATTTACACGGGTCTATTTCTGGGCTCTCTATTCTGTTCCATTGATCTATTTGTCTATTATTTCACTAATACCATACTGTTTTGCTACTGTAGCTTTATAGTATATCCTGAAGTCAGTCGTGTTAGGCCCCTAACCTTATTCTTATTCAATCTTGTATGGGCTATTCTGTTCCTTTTGCCTCTCCATATTAACCTTAGAATTAGTTTGTTGTTATCCACAAAATACTCGTCAGGATTTTGATTGGGATGGAATTGAATCTATAGATCAAGTTAGGAAGAATGCTCATCTTGACAATATTGAGTCTTTCTATCCATGAACGTGAGACATCTCTCCATTTACTCAGTTCTTTGACTTCTTTCATCAGTTTTGCAGTTTTCTTTATTTAGATCTTGTTCCTATCTTGTTAGATGTGTAAATAAGTATTTCTCTTGGGGGATGCTAATGTAAATGGTGCTGTTTTTAATTTTATGTTCCACTTACTTATAGCTGGTATGTAGGAAGATGATTGACTTTTATATATTAGCCTTGTATCCTGCAACTTTGCTATAATCTCTTATTAGTTCCAGGGGCTTTTTTTTGTCCATTCTTTTGGATTTTCTACATAGATAATCACATCATCTGCGTTAAAATACAGTTTTATTTCTTCTTTCACAATCTGTATACCTTTTATTGTATTTTCTTGTTTTATTGCATTAGCTAGGCCTTCCAGGATGATGTTAAAAAGAAGTGGTGAGAGGGGACATTCTTGAGTTGTTCCTGATCTTTTTTTTTTTTTGAGACAGAGTCTTGCTCTGTCACCCAGGCTGGAGTGCAGTGGCTGATCTCGGCTCACTGCAAGCTCCGCCTCCCAGGTTCATGCCATTCTCCTGCCTCAGCCTCCCGAGTAGCTGGGACTACAGGCGCCCGCCACCACTCCCGGCTAATTTTTTTTTTCTATTTTTAGTAGAGACAGGGTTTCACTGTGTAAGCTAGGATGGTCTCAATCTCCTGACCTCATGATCCACCCTCCTCAGCCTCCCAAAGTGCTGGGATTACAGGCGTGAGCCACCGCGCCTGGCCTGTTCCTGATCTTAATGGCAAGACTTTGAGTTTTTCACCATTAAGTATGATGTTACCTATAGTTTTTTTTTTAAATAAATATTTCCTGTTAAGTTGAGGAAGTTCCCCTCTAT
This sequence comes from Homo sapiens, assembly GCF_000001405.40. Taxonomy (NCBI): domain Eukaryota; kingdom Metazoa; phylum Chordata; class Mammalia; order Primates; family Hominidae; genus Homo; species Homo sapiens. Next base: position 5,965,730 of record NC_000017.11, read on the forward strand.
TCCTAACTTACTGAGATTTTTTTTTTATTATGAATGGGTGTTGCGTTTTGTCAAGGGGTTGTTATGCATCTATTGATATGATCACGTGATATTTCATTAGCTTATTGATGTTATGGATTGTATCTGTTGATTTTTCAAATGTCATACCAGCCTTGTGTAAATCTCACTTGGTTGTGGTGTATGTTTATTTTTATTTTATTTTATTTTTTGAGACAGAGTCTCGCTGTCGCCCAGGCTGGAGTGCAGTGGCACGATCTCGGCTCACTGCAAGCTCCACCCCCTGGGGGTTCACACCATTCTCCTGCCTCAGCCTCCCGAGTAGCTGGAACTACAGGTGCCCGCCACCTTGCCCGGCTAATTTTTTGTATTTTTAGTAGAGATGGGGTTTCACCGTGTTAGCCAGGATGGTCTCGATCTCCTGACCTCGTGATCTGCCCGCCTCAGCCTCCCAAAGTGCTGGGATTACAGGCGTGAGCCACGGTGCCCGGCTGGTGTATGCTTATTTTTATATGTTGTTGGATTTGACTTGCTAATATTTGTTGACGATTTTGGCATCTATGTCCATGAGATACTGGTACCTAGTTTTCTTTCCTTGTAATGACTGTTTAGTTTTGATATTAGGGTAATGCTGGTCTCATAGAATGCATTAGGAAGTAGTCTCTTTGCTTCTGTCTTGTGAAAGAGATTATGGGGAATTGGTGTAATTTCCTCCTCAAATGTTTGGTAGAGTTTGCCGGTGAATCAGCTGGGGCCTGATGCTTTCTGTTTTGGAAAGTTATTAATTATTGATTTAACTTATTTAATAGACATAGGCCTGTTCAGATTGTCTATTTCTTTTTGTGTGAGTTTTGGCAGATTATGTCTTTCAAGAAATCATTCCATTTCATCTTGATTATCAAATTTGTAGGCATAGAGTTGTTGTTAGTACTCCTTTATGATCTTTTTAATGTCCATAGGATCTGTAGTGATTCTCTTCATTCAATTCTGATATTAGTTATTTGTGCCCTTTCTCATTTTTTTCTTAGCCTGGCTAGAGGCTTGTTGATTTTATTGAACTTTTAAAGAACAAGCTTTTGGTTTCATTGATTTTCTTTATTAATTTCCTGCTTTTTTTTACCCTTTCACTTAAATTTTACTAATACTCATAGAATGTTCAAAGAAAGCAAAATGAAAAGAGCATTGAGAATTAGAAGTAACAGATGGTAAAGATACAAAAATATACAAAGAATCAGGACAGTGGTCAAGTATGAGGCAAGACAAAGATAAGTCTTAGAGGGGACGATCAGAAAATTCTTAATGCCTGTCCAAGGCCTAGTTATGAATCTTGATGATAATTCCTATTTTTTTCCAATTATTGCTATTAAAACTTATGACAAATGTTTTATAAAGACTCCATGAAAAGCCTTCTAGAGCTGATAAATGACTTCAGTAAAGTTTCAGGATATAAAATCAATGTACACAAATTAATAGCATTTATATATATCTCAGTAACATTCAAGCAGAGAGACAATTCAAGAATACCCATTCTCTTTCCAAAGCCATAAAAATAAAATACCTAGGAACACATCTAACAAAGGAGGTGAAAGATCTCTATAAGGAGAACTACAAAATACTGCTGAAAGAAATAACAGATAATATAAACATAGGTAAAAACATCCCATGTTTATTGACTGGAAGAATCAATATGATTAAAATGTCCATACTGCCCAAAGCAATATACAGATTCAATATCATTCCTATCAAACTACCAATATTACTTTTCACAGAATTAGAAAAAAATTCTAAAATTTATATGAAACAAAAAACGAGTCCCAATAGTCAAAGCAATTCTAAGTAAAAAGAGCAAAGCCAGAGGCATAATTGTACTTGACCTCAAACTATATTTCAAGGCTATCGTTACCAAAACAGCATGGTACTGGTACAAAAACAGACTTCCTGCTTTCAATTTCATCTCTAATTTTATTATTTTTCTTCTTTTTCTTTTTTAAATTTAAAATTTTTTTAAATTCTATAGGTTATTGGGGAACAGGTGGTGTTTGATTACATAAGTTAAGTTCTTTAGTGGTGATTTGTGAGATTTTGGTGCACCCATCACCCAAGCAGTATACACTGCATGCTGTTTGTAGTCTTTTATCCCTCATCCCCTTCCCACCCTTTCCCCGAGTCCCCAAAGTCCATTGTGTTATTCTTATGCCTTTGCATCCCCATAGCTTAGCTCCCACTTATGAGTGAGAACATATGATGTATATTTTTCCATTCCTGAGTTAGTTCACTAAGAATAATAGTCTCCAATCTCATCCAGGTCACTGCGAATGCCATTAATTCATTTCTTTTTATAGCTGAGTAGTATTCCATCATATATATATACCACAGTTTCTTTATCCACTCGTTGATTGATGGGCATTTGGGTTGGTTCCATGTCTTTGCAATTGCGAATTGTGCTGCTATAAACATGCATGTGCAAGTATCTTTGGTATAATGACTTCTTTTCCTCTGGGTAGATATCCAGTAGTGGGATTGCTGGATCAAATGGTAGTTCTACTTTTAGTTCTTTAAGGAATCCCCACACTGTTTTCCATAGTGGTTGTACTAGTTTACATTCCCACCAGCAGTGTAGAAATGTTCCCTGTTCATTGCTGGTGCCCCTCCTCCACCTCAAGGCCAGCACTGGCAGGCCGAGTCCCTTCCTTCTCCTGCAGCCTCATCTCTGGCTTTCTCTTCTGATTCCCTCTTCCACCTTTAAGGACCCTTGAGATCAGGCCTACCTAGCTAATCCAGGGTAATCACCCCATTTTAAGGTCAGCTAGAACTGTGGATATCTTTAGAGAGCTATTATTCTGCCTATGACGGGGAATAACTATTACGTAGTGATATGGTTTGGGTCTGTGTCCCTGACTGAATCGCAGAGCAAACGGTAATCCCCAATGTTGGGGGTGGGGCCTGGTAGGAAGTGATTGGATATTGGGGGCAGATTTCCCCTTTGGTGCTGTTCTCACAATAAGGGGTGAGTTATCCTGAGATCTGATTGTTTAAAAGTGTGTAGCACTGGCCGGGCATGGTGGCTCACACCTATAATCCCAGCACTTTGGGAGGCCAAGGCAGGCAGATCACCTGAGGTCAGGAGTTCAAGACCAGCCTGGCCAACATGGTGAAACCCTGTCTCTACTGAAAATACAAAAAAAAATTAGTGGGGCGTGGTGGCAGGTGCCTGTAATTCCAGCTACTTGGGAGGCTGAGGCAGGAGAATCACTTGAACCTGGGAGGTGGAGGTTGCAGTGAGCTGAGATCAGCCCTGGTGACAGAGTGAGATTCCATCCCCCCCGCCAAAAAAAAATTCCCTCTAAACACTGCTTTAGCTGTGTCCCAGATATTCTGGTATGTTGTATCTTTGTTCTCACTGGTTTCAAAGAACTTATTTATTCCTGCCTTAATTTTGTTATTTACCCAGTAGTCATTCAGGAGCAGGTTGTTCAGTTTCCATGTAGTTGTGCAGTTTTGAGTGAGTTTCTTAATCCCAAGTTCCAATTTGATTGTACTGTGATCTGATAGACTGTTTGTTATGATTTCCATTCTTTTGCATTTGCTGAGGAGTGTTTTACTTCCAATTATGTGGTCAATTTTAGAATAAGTGTGATGCGATGCTGAAAAGAATGTATATTCTGTTGATTTGGGGTGGAGAGTTCTGTGTATACCCAAAGGATTATAAATCATTCTACTATAAAGACACATGCACATGTATGTTTATTGCAGCACTGTTCACAATAGCAAAGACTTGGAACCAACACAAATGCCCATCAATGATAGACTGGATAAAGAAAATGTGGCATATATACACCATGGAATACTATGCAGCCATAAAAAAGGATGAGTTCATGTACTTTGCAGGGACATGGATGAAGCTGGAAACCATCATTCTCAGCAAACTAACACAAGAACAGAAAACCAAACTCTGCATGTTCTCACTCATAAGTGGGAATTGAACAATGGGAACACATGGACACAGGGAGGGGAATATCACACACCAGGGCCTGCCAGGGGGTGGGGGGCTAGGGGAGGGAGAGCATTAGGAGAAATACCTAACGTAGATGACGGGTTGATGGGTGCAGCAAAACACCATGGCACGTGTATACCTATGTAACAAACCTGCACGTTCTGCACATGTATCCCAGAACTTAAAGTATAATAATAAAAAAAAAATTTTAAGTGTGTAGCACCTGCTTGCTCTCTCTTTTCCTCCTGAGCCAGCCATGTAGGACATATCTACTTCCCCTGTACCTTCTGCCATGATTGAAAGTTTCCTGGGACCTCCCCAGCCGTGATTCCTGTACAGCCTGTGAAACCATGAGCCAATTAAACCTCTTTTCTTTATAAAGTACCGAGTCTCAGGCATGTCTTTATAGCAATGTGAGAATGGACTAATAGACATAGGAAAGAGAAAAAGACAAATATACACTTAGAAGAAATAAGACAAGGTATTTGATAGATCAGTAAGGTGACTATAGTCAACATCCATCCATTGTACATTTCAAAATAGCTAGAAGAGGATAGTTCAAATGTTCTTAGCCTAAAGATAACTAAGTTAATGGATATTCCAATTACCCTAATTTGATTATATGAATGAATTAAATTATCATATGTACCCTGAAAATATGTACATCTAATATGTACCAATAAAAAATAAACTAAAGTAAGGAGTCACAATAAAAGAAAAAAGGGCCGGGCGTGCTGTAATCCCAGCACTTTGGGGGCCCAGGCGGGTGAATCACCTGAGGTCAGGAGTTCAAGACCATCCTGGCCAAGACAGTAAATCCTATCTCTAATAAAAATACAAAATTATCTAGGCGTGGTGGCGCACTCTGGTAATCCCAGCTACTCAGGAGGCTGAGGCAGGAGAATTGCTTGAACCCGGGATGTGGAGGTTGTGGTGAGTGGAGATTGTGCCATTGCATTCCAGCCTGGGCAATAAGAGTGAAACTCTATCTCAAAAAAATAAAATAAAATAAAAATCAAATGAAAACCATTTCTACCGCAGTTGAACCCAGACAGTGAGAAGTGATGGAGTTTGGGAGGGAGGGTGCCACAAATAATGATGTCATTAGGAGAAGAGTGCACCTATCGGGGGTAACTTTAGCTGACACCCCTAGGGTTCTAGGGACCTGGTGCTTCTTCCGCCAACCCTAGTCAAGTCACTGGAAGTAATAAACCGTGCAGGGGCTTACCTACTGTGTCTCTTATGTAATCCTTCCTGACATTGCTGCTTAGAAGGAAATCCCAAGAATCAGGACCACAGACAGAATAGGGGAGTATCAGCAGCAGTAGCTATGCTCATGGTGACCTCAGAAAGAATTCTAAGCAGTCCACAACCCCTGGGACTTAGCCCCTTCTTCCTTTCCCTACAGTTACTGGAGTAGAAGTCACAAGAGGGTCTTAGTACAGAATGCTCCAGCTCAGAAAGAAGGTTCTCAAATCCTCAGTTGTTAATTTACCAATTCATTACAGGGCAACTCTCCTGTGCCCCAGTATAAGGCGTTTGATAGTGAGTGAGATGGTTTCCTGGCCTCACACAGCTCACAACTGAGTGGGGGGTTATAGGCAGTAAGTTAAATTACATGTCGGTGTGGCAGGTGCTGCACAACCAGTCACTGTAGAGTCTGTGGGAAGCGTGTTTACTAATCAGCCCAAGTTGTATCATTTGGAGTTGAATAAACAATGCCCATGTTTGTGTCCAAGAAAAGGCATACTTCAGCCAGGCACAGTGGCTCATGCCTATAATCCCAGCACTTTGGGAGGCCGAGGCGGGCAGATCACTTGAGGTCAGGAGTTCAAGACCAGGCTAGCCAATGTGGTGAAACCCCATCTCTACTAAAAATACAAAAAATTAGCTGGATGTGGTGGTGCGTGCCTGTAGTCCCAGCTACTTGGGAGGCTGAGGTGGGAGAATCACTTGAACCCGGCAGGCAGAGATTGCAGTGAGCTGAGATCATGCCATTGCACTCCAGCCTGGGTAACAGAGCAAGACTTCGTCTAAAAAAAAAAAAAAAAGTAAAAGAAAAAGAAAAAAGAAAAGGCATACTCCAAGTCCTCCATCAGGGCTCATTGCCTCTAATTACCTTTGTTCCCACCTGAGTGATATACCAGAGGCCACCCACATTATTTTGATGCACAGCCCATTTCCAGGAACAAAACCCACTGGAGTTCAAGGTGGGGCAGGGTGTTCCTCACCATGGCACCTGTTTGTCCAGGGTCCCTGGGTTGTAGGGCAGCATCAGAGACCAAGGGCAGGAACCAGAATTTCTAAGCAGCAGCAGTGGCAGGTTCCCTGCTGGGATTTAGCTGGAGAACAAAGTAAGTTTGCATAATGAGTGTGAGAGCTGTAAAGAATAAACTGTGAAGTGCTGTGCAAATATTAGCTCTCCTGTCTCTTCCAGCTCTGGCCTTCCCTTAACAGTGTGGCTGAAAGCCCTTTGTCTGAGGACAAGGACAGATAAGCTAGTTAGAGATGGCTGGAGTCCACAGAGCGGCACCAGGAGTCTCTGAACTTGAACTTGGTCTGTCCTCCCTGGGGCCTCTTCTGACACACTCACTTGGGGGCAGAGAATCCAGGCCCAGTGAGAAGGCAGCAGAAAGAGGATGCAGAAAAATCAGCTGTCTTTGTCCTTGGGGTAACCAATTCACTGGGGTCTCCTTACTCGGCAGACAAGCCTTATTCCTTCAACAGCCCTGAAACCTTCAGAGGAGCTGAAAGTCAGAGGGAAATTAGAAATTAGGCCTCATCCCCACAGTGGGAACAGTCCGCTCGCAGTACGGCCTCCATATGGTTTAATAATTTGAGATTTCTCACACGTCTCAAGGGAAGGCTGGAGGGGTTTTGATGCTCTTCCTATGGGTTCCCAACGTGCATCTCTTCTCATCAATAAAAGATTGGGTTTACTCACTGTGGTAAGCCAAAAGTGAAAGACAGGTGCAGCTATATAATATTTCTCTTTAATTACTGCTTATGGAAAAAAAAAAGCCAAGTATGGAAATTAATTATTCCATATTGTTAGAACAGGATGAACTACTTACTAATTTTAACTGTGGCTTTTGTGTAGAAGCTGTTGCTCAACATCTTATTAATTTGGGTAAATATTAACAAACAGTTTCTGCACCTCCTCCTCCACTACCCTCTACCCTCCCAACCCCATCCCATACAGTACATACTCCTGGGGGGTGTGGTTTGCCTGGGGTTCCTTTTTTCCTTCGTTGTATAGTGTTGGGCCCAGTTGCTACAAAGCTTCCTTTCAAGAAGAAAACCTTTTTGATATCAGGGCTGTTTTTCTGCCTCCCTCTGCTGTCTGTCAGGGTACCCTGAGACTCATGTAGAAATGCAAGAAAATGCTTTTCTATTATTTATGCCCACTTTCACACCTAGCACATTTGTCCTCTCAGTTGGCAGACACCTGCTGTCTGAAAGGCACCCATGCTTCAGGCTAGTGACCCATGGGGCAGATTAACATGTACAAGATGGGTTGGGGAAGACTCCAAAGGCCTCACTGAGTGCGTCTTATTGACTCATAAAGAATCTTTACTTGAAGCCTCAGCAACAGAGAAGAGGAAGGAAGGTGGTGGGGAGTGGCCTTAACACATTTTCACCGGGATTCATATGGTGGGGTTGAGGCTTCACCCAATCTACCTTAAGTTGCAGACAGAAAAGCACAAGCTCCCAAAAGCCTTTCTGCTGGAAGCTGATGGTAGTCTGGAGCTCTTGAAGCTCATGTTCAGGCAATCTATTGCTGTAAGCAAAATATCCAAAACTTAGTGGCTTGAGACAAGTAACTAATTTACTATGTCTCATAATTGCATGGGTAAGGAATTAGGGCAGGGCTCAGCTGGGTGATTCTTCTGCTTCACCTGGGTTAGTTTGGCTTGGCCAAGACGACTTTGCTTATATGTCTGGCCTCTTGCTGGGGACATCTGGATGACTGAACTGAGCTGGGACTGTTGACCAGAGGATATACACATTGTCTCTTCAGAATAGTGGTTTCAGGGTAGCTGAACTTCTCACACGATGGCCCAAGGCACCTCGAGAGAAGGCCCAGAGACCCAGGGAGATGATGCAAGGCTTCTTCTGATGTACCCTCAGTAGCCTTAGTACATCCATTCCATGTCATCAGTTGGTTAAGCAGATCACTAAGCCCAGCCCAGATTTAAGAGGAGGGAGATTAGACCCCACCTGTCATGGGAGGAGTATCAAAGACCTTGTAGTCATCTTTAATCTACCCAGCATATGATTCTGCTCAGGGGCTTACCAAGTCTTGGAGAGCCAGGCGGTGATAGTAAGAGGTTCATAGTCTGATGGGTTTCAGTGTTGCCACTTAACAGTTTAACATTTGATTTTAATAACTGATCCTCAGATTCCTTATCCATGCAATAAAAAAAATAACTCCTACCTTATAGGAGTACTGAGAGCATTAAGTGAGATCACATATAAAAAGCCCAGACTAGGGTCTGGCATCCAGAAGGTACATTCTTCCTGGAGCTCTTGCTGTAAAGATGACTGCTCAATGAGGATAATCATGTGGGAAGAATAAATGAGGTTGTACATGTTTATCAAAATGTAGGTTTAGTCATGAAAAAATTTGAGTGACATTGTAAAAATAGAATAGAAAAGAAAGACCATAATTTAAAAACATCAAGGCTTATCAGTCTCATAAGGGTAGGTACGATTTTTTTGAAACTTCTTTTAGTTTTGTAAAAATATTTGTGTACTGGATCATGATGTAAAATGTATTGTTTTGTTCTTAAGATGTAGTTTTTACTGAGGTTCATGGTTGAAAACATTTGAAAGCTGCTGAGAAAATGAATATGAAGTGCTTTTGCCAACTGTGTTAGTGAACTGTCATTCAAAAGTACAATTCTTATTCTGTTGGGTGTATCTGAGCACCCAGGGCTAGTGGAGATTAGGAGCAGCTTAGTAAATATGCTAAGTCCACCAGGATCCTGGCCTCAGGGATATTTGACTGTCAAAATCAACAAAGTAAAACTACCTGGCAAGCCCAGCATTTGTCCTGGTGCCACTTTTGAATGTCACACATAGCCCCGAAAATTGGATTGGTAGAAGGCAGCATTATAAAATCTCACTCATTCTGCCTGATCTTACTCTCTGCAGTGTCTTCAGGAAAAGGAGTGGTTTTCTCTCTCTGGACCTGAAGGTAGTTACAGAGAAGAAGGAGTTGAGTTGGATATGGATTTGGGGGAAGTGAGGACAAAGACCATCAAAGTGGGCATGTCTGCTGAGGACTCCCACCTTTTCCCAATAATTGTTCCTCTCTGATTCCAGCCATGTGGTTCACATGGGAGCTGCCCTAGGTGACTCTACCTCTCATGCCATATATGACTGTGTTGGCAGTTGCCCCGAAATGGCAAATCAGAGTTCAGAGCTCTTTCCTGGGAGTGTTTTTTCCCCTCTCTCTCTCTCTTCAGTTTGGGGCCAAAGAAAGCGTCTATCAACGTTTCCAGTGGTGGGAGCCCTAAGAGGTAAAATTTGAGAGCTGTCAATGTCAAAATTTCCCTGTGATGGAGGAAGCTTGTCTACAGGGAGAGAGAACAAAGCTGGCATGCCAAGAGAAGCATGGAGAGACAGCAGAGGTGCCAGGTCATGTGTGAGCTCCTGGATACACTTGTTCATGAGCCCAGCTGCACCCCTACCTTGGTTGCAGCATAGCTGTCCAACCTCAGAGTCCATGAGTCAATCCATCCCCTTTGGCCTGAGCTCATTGGAGATGGGTTTCTGTCCTTTGCATCCAAGAGTCTTTCATAAACACTTAAATGGGAGCAACTTGGTGGGACCAGAAGAGACGACTCTGAACACAGTCATTTTTCTAGAGCCTGCATCAGGCTGGGAACAGAGGCTGCCACCTCCTGTCTCTCTCTTCCTGCCCAGGTATCTGCAGGGTGCACATCCCCAGAGCCAAGTGAAGCATCCAGGAGAGAAGCACCAGCCAATTCATTAGGCAGCTCACACACTCGCTCCTGATAGGAAGAGTTGAGGGCAACCAGCCCTCCCCCCACTTGAGTCCTCCAGGCCCCTCTGTAGTTAAATGCTATGATCTCCTTCACGCCAGGGGCTGCCACATCAGGAGGCTTGGATTAAGTGATTTGTCTCCCTCCAACACAGCTGCTCTCTGGTTCCTGTCTGACAAATGTGGTTCATTAGGGCTGACAAAGATGAATGTCCTTGTTTGTGGGAGTCTGCTAAGTGCTGTTCTCAGGGAGCCAGTGGACCTGGATCTGAAGAAAGGTATACATCACATTGGCGACCCAGCAGAGCCTCTCAGTCACAGGCTACAGTGGTGACATGAAGGCCAAGTACGAGCTACCTGCCATGAGTAGGTCCCACGAGAGCTTCCTGGTTGGGGTACAGTGAAATTTGGCAGCTGAAGACAGCTTCTATCATCGCCATCTGAGAGTCAACCTGTTTTTGAAAGTAGTTGCCCTGTGATGTACTTGCAACATACTCACCAGCCAACAGACACACATCTGGGCCACTAACATCTACTAAGCAAATTCTATAGGCTGGATATGTAGGGGGAGGACTGAGAACCTGGGGGTGGTTGTTGTCAAGGGAGGCTGAAGCCTCAGAAACACAAAATGTGGGCATAGCCAGAGCACTTCAGCGGCAGCTACCATTTGGAACCAGAAACAGTGCGAGCAGCTGCTTCCTTCCTGTCCTGATCATTTACTTCAGTCAACAATTCCACGACTCTAGGAGCCCTGAAAAACTAAAGCAATCATTCTCAGCCTGGGCTGGGCAGCGAGACGCCTGCAGCTGTGGCTTCCAAAGATTTGGACCATTATCCACAGTGAGAAACATTGTATATCACAACCCAGGGCACACGTGTGTACACATAGGCACTTTCAACAGTTTTACCAAATACAGTGAAATTCACACTGGTATTCTTTATTCTATTTTCTTCTACTCAATTTCATCTTTTAAAAAATGCTGGTTGTAACCAATAAATGAAATTCCCTGATTGCTTATGGCTCATAACCCTTGGTTAAACAACAACTCTGACTAAATGGTGCTTTTAAAAAAATCCACATTAACCTTGTTAGGACAAGACCTCCTGAGAAGGGGTCCTATAATCTGAGACATACAGGATGGACAATAGTTGGCCAAGCAAAGGGATGTGGAGGAGAAAGCATTTCAGGTAGAGGAGGCAGCATATGCAAATGTGCGACTGAGAGAGCCACATCTGCCATATGGAGAAGTGGAAAGTTCAGCTCAGCTGGGGCAAAAGTGTTGTGGGAGAGGGTGAGGGAGGGGTTGAGAGTCAGTGGTCCATCATAGAGGGCTTCACAAGACCAGGCGAAGAGTTTGGAATTGATGCTGAGGGCAGTGAGGGGTTCTTAAAGGATTTTAAGCAGACGAGCGATATGGTCAGATGAGTGCTTTCTGAAAGACCACTCTGCTGCGTGGAAGATGGATTTGGGGTGTGGAAAACGGGATGGGGAGAGCAGTGAAGGCAAGGCTGGATGCGGGGAGATCAGGTGGCTGAGCCCTTGTGCACATGCGTGATGTGAATTAGAACTAGGTACCCCCTGTGGGGAGACCGAGGCATGAAAAGAGCCTTTCTCGACAGATGCAGGGCTTGTCCAGGTCAGACTTGTGTGGCTGGATTTCAGCCCCATTCACCCTCAGGCCTGGTGTCTCCAACAAGACATGACCCAAATGACTGTGGGTGGCAGCTCTGCTGGTTTGGAGGTAACAGCAAAGGCTCAGGAAAGAGACAATGATGGTGGGGATGATGGTAGGAAAGAACATGGGACATGCAAGAAATAATTATGATGGGAAGGCGAGCTGAGTGCCCTTGAGGGTTTCTTCTGGCCACAAGACTCTGGGATCCTCATCCACCTCTGCCCACCATCCTCAGTGTCCTGGCCTCTTGCTTCATCCTTGTTTGAGTAGCAGAGATACCTACAGCTGTGGCTTGTCCAGGGCTGAACTAACGTGCAGAGGCTGTGTAGTGAAGGGTGCTTAGGGAAAGATGTCTGCAGCCTGGGCCACAGAGGGGAGGCAATGTCTTAGAGGCAGAACCTACCTCTTCTTGCTCCAAAGAAGGGAGTGGGAGGAGCAAAGGAGCAAAAGGAGCCCTCTTCCTACTTCATGGTGAGAACTTGGAATCAGATCTGAATTGTGTGTTTTAAACCCGGCTGACTTTCAGATGCAGAAAGTGGCCAGCAAGTCAGGGGCTCTGCTGCTCAGCAAAGAGGAAGAGTCAAGGCACACAGCTGGACGGTGGCTGGAGAATGATACCTGTGTCTCAGGTTTGTCTCCCACCGAGGTGGGGCTGTGCAATAAACCCAAGTGGTCCCAGCTGTGGGTTTTTGCGCCCTCTGGCTTAACCTGAGCCCCACTCACCCTGCAGTGGGCTTTTATCTCCCATGGGTTGAGGTCATCGGGCAGAAATCTGTCCCCATTTTGGTCCCTCCCAGCCCTAAACAGGGAGGTCTAATGTTGCCCAGCAACTCTACCTAGACCAGGGTCAACTAAATTCAAGGAAAAGGAGTAGAAAGTCCTCTTTCTGCCTCTGGTCAGAGCCATGTTCTCCAATCCAACTTTACAAGGCAGCCCTGAACTTTGGGCAGTAGAGCAGAGGCTGTTTGAATAGTGCTTATTTCAATTTCTCAAATTGTTTAGAAGCCACAGGGACTATGGGTGTGGGTGTAGGTAAAGAACTAGGCTTCCTCAGCTTCAAACACATGCCATTAAACCTCTCTAAACTCCCCTATCCCCATTTTCTAGAATAGGATTCTAAGACTGCCCCGAGGCTTAGCTATAATGCCTATCATACATCGAGTGCAGTGCCTGGCTTGTGTGAATGGTATTTTGACGAATGGACTTCCTTTTTCAGATTGCTCAGGCTGACCTGTAGGTCCATGCCAATATTGGGCGCTTAAGCAGCTGAACAGGGAGGTCTGAGATGGGGAGAGCCAGGGGCTACCTCTCGGCCAGAGTCCATGGGGACAACAGGGGTGGAAAGCCACAGAAAGTACACAGCAAGACCAACGACAGGGCAGCAATAGTAGTAACAGCTGGTATGCTCCTGGAACTCGGCTAAGTACTCCATGTGTACCTAATCCTTGCAATGAAGAATATTGCCCTCATTAGGAAACTGACATCCAAAGAGAGAAACTTACCTACGTTTAGGCAACCAGTAAAAAGAGCCTGAAAGCAAAGCCATGGTTGCCTGGCTCCTAAGCCCAGTGGAAGCATGGATAAGAAACTACTCAGGGCCAAGAGAACACCAGGCTGGGGTGGACAGGTGGAGACTGAGCAGGACAGGGGTCCTGGACACTCCTGCGGACCCCTGAGGGGTTCACACTTTACCTTTAGCGCTGGGGTGTGTACAAATCAAGCTGGCCCCAGCTGGGGGGAGTTACCTGAGGCTCCACCATGTTTGAGAAAGTAACTGATCATTCAAGGGCCCTGGTGTGGTTTCTGGAGGAGGCTCAGTGAGTGCTCCCCATTCGTGGCTTCCTGCACACACACCTCCCTCCCACCTTATCCTGCACTAAAGATTTTTTCTTCTCGCTCCAATTTGTTTTTTTGCTTCTGTTTAAAATAAATTCCACAACACTGAATAACCTTCCCCCACAAGGTTGGAGTTAATCAGGCTGAATTTATTAAGATCTTTACAATTAAATGAGCTCATACCAGGAGGAGGAAAGTTACCTTATTATCCCATTTTAAGAGCTCAAATAATTTCAGTCTCCAACTTTACTGTCGACCCCCAACTACTTCCATCGCGGTCGCCAATGACTTCAGAGGGCGCTGGACCACGGTCTTCTCCGTGCTTCCCATCCCTGATGTGGGGAGAAACGTGCTCAGACCAGTGAGTCACTGCAGAGGGAAACCAAGATGAGAAAGGGCGGGCAGTTCAGCATGGATGGAACCTGTTCTAGTTTTACAGGCAAAACTTGGGCGTGGGAGTCTACATCATGAAGAGACGATTCCTCCCAGGGGCTCATCCTCTGGGGTCAGTGTTGGCCTTGACTGGGTCCCTTCCTGCTCCAGTCCTTGGCCCCCAGCTCTTCTCTCCTCATAGCAGGGCCCTCTTGCCTGACACCTGCAAGATTAGACAGACCCAGACAAGTGGGGGTTTCAGTAGCCTGGAGGAAGGGACTCAGCCCAGAAGGAGCCCCGATGCTGGTCCCATCCTGACCTAGACCCCCTGCCTTGTTCCTGAGTGCCCGATCTTGATTTACTGCATACTCTGGCACTCTGAGGTCTAGGATTCCTCTGTTTTGGTCTTGCCAGCTTTGCTCAACAGAACCCACAACCCACAGGGTTGTCCTTCTCACCCCCAAAGATATGTTGAAGCCCTCATACTCTTTATGTGTGAATGTGACCTTATTTAGAAATAGGATCTTTGCAGATACAATTAAATTGATATAGGGTCGTTAGAGAGGGCCCTAAACCAACAGGACTGGTGCCCTTATAAGAAGAGGAGAAGAGACACACCCAGAGAGTTCACCATGTGATGATGGAGACAAAGATTAGAGAGATGCATCTACAGGTCAAGGTGCACCAAGAATTGCAGGCAACATGGCCAACATGGTGAAACCCTGTCACTACTAAAAATACAAAAAATTAGCTGGGCGTGGTGGTGGGCACCGGTAATCCCAGCTACTCGGGAGGCTGAGGAAGGAAAATTGCTTGAATCCGGGAGGCAAAAGTTGCAGTGAGCCGAGATCGTGCCATTGCACTCCAGCCTGAGCAACAAGAGGGAAACTTCATCTTAAAAAAAAAAAAAAAAAAAAAAAGAATTGCAGGCAACACCAGAAACTAGGAGACAGGCATGGAACGGACTCTTCCTCAGAGCCTCCCAGCAGGAACAAACCTTGCTGAACCTTGCTTCTGGACTTCTAACCTCCAGACCTGTCAATGAATAAATTTCTGTTGTTTTAAGCCACCTAGGAGGCTAATGCAGGACCCATATGCCCACCACTGCTCCTAATAAGCTTCTGAGTTCTATCACCCATGTTCCTGGGTCACCATGTTCTGTCATGTTTAAATTCCTTCCCATTGCCTCCTCCTGGCTCTGCCTCTTCCTTACCAATTCCAATGACCAGTCCAGCCTCAGGGTTTTTTTTTTTTTCCTGTTCTAGGTGCTGAGCCCCCACAGTGAACTCCAGATTATACTGCCCTAACCTATACTGATATATTCAGGAGGTCCGCCCTCAGAGGCTTGTTCTGTGTCAATGAGGGGCCCCGCATTGCCCCTGTGCACAGATATTTGTCTGCTAATCAGTGTTCAAAGCAACTGTCTAAAACCCTCAAGCCCTCCCTCAATTGTTGGCTCACAGTTCTACTCTCATGAACCCCCTTGGGCCTTAGGAAGCACTAAGAACATGATGGAGGCAGCTGGCTCAGTTAAATGCTTGAATCCCTTCGAGGTTTCATCCAGGCAGCACTGCTCATGAGTAGAAGGGTACAGCAATACAGTTGTGCGACCAGGTGGTGTCCAACTTACACTGACTTTAACGAATGTCAGGGACAGACACCATGGGCATACCCAGAAACCCTTTGTTAATGACTTCGGCTCAATTAACCTTTCTGTGGAACTCACACTCTTTTCCTTCATAACTGTGTTATTTATCTTTTCTTTATTTCTTTATTTTTTATTGTTTTTTTTTTTGAGACAGAATCTCGCTCTGTTGCTCAGGCTGGAGTGCAGTGGTGCAATCTCGGCTCGCTGCAACCTCCGCCTCCTGGGTTCAAGCAACTCTCCTGCCTCAGCCTCCGAGTAGCTGGGGCTACAGGCACGTGCCATCATGCCTGGCTATTTTTTTTTTTTTTGTATTTTAGTAGAGACGGGGTTTCACCATGTTGGCCAGGCTGGTCTTGAACTCCTGACCTCAAGTGATCTACCCACCTCGGCCTCCCAAAGTGCTGGGATGACAGGCGTGAGCCACCACGCCTGGACTATTATTTATCTATGCATAGTTCCACTCTCCATTGCAATTATTCCCTGACTTTCCCCAAGATGGAATCAACTAGACAACATTTATTGTTAGCTTCATATGTATGTGTGTTTTCCTTATTACAATGTTATTTTCCCTAGAGAGGGGTTCCACTGACAGGGCCATTAGGAAGTGGTAGAGAAATAATGGCAGGCTTTGTGAAATCTCTGCCAAACCCTGGACTCTTGGCTCAGCTCATGTTTTTGGTCCAAAGAATATAGATATTCTGCACTTTTTACCTCCTGGCTCTATGTTTCTCCACAATGTTTTAGAGATCTGCCCATGTTCTCTAGAGTTCATGATTGTGTAGACTGTCTTTCCGCTAACTACGCCTTACAACTTCTCTTCTGGTCGGTTCCACTCACTTGATCCCCACCATTTTGCCCTGACCCTTGGCTCTGTCTTCTGGTTGCAGTCTCACTCCCGTCCCCTTTGAACTTTACTTTTCCAAATCTAAGTTTTCTGCTTTCAGGTTATGGGCCCCAGAAACACATACCTAAGTACCTGTGCCTCTGCACAAACCCTCATGAGGACTCCATCTGAGCCATTTCCATCTGCTTCCTCCTCACTGTACACAGCTTCCTGAACAGCTCTTTGCTGTCAACTCCAGCCCTGGCCCAGGAGGGAGGAAGGGTGTGAAACGTGGATGATAGGTATGGTGTAGTTCAAACAGGATCAGAGAGAAGGGTTTGATTTTCATTGGAAGAGAAGTTCAGATGGGTATTTCAGGCAGAAAATAAGCCAAGTTTCAGATTTCAAACTTCAGAAGAGCAAATTTCAGTGTGGTCTGGAGTTTTGGGGAGCCTCTGAAACATTTCAGGGGATCCATAAGGTCAAAATGATTTTCATAATGATAATGATATGTTATTTGCCTTTTCCACCGTGAGATGTTTGCACCCACATTGCCAAAACAGTGGGGGGTAAAATTGTTTAGCATAAATCAAGGCAATAGCAACAAATTGCTAGTAGCCACTGTATTCTTCACTGCCAGACACAGGCAGTAACAAAGCATCAATGCCACTTAAGAACGTTTTTCACAGAGCAGTAAATGTTATTAATTTTATTAGCTCTCAAGTCTTGAGTACACATCTTTTTTTATTTTTAAAACAATAGGCCGAGGCGGGTGGATCACAAGGTGAGGAGATTGAGACCATCCCGGCTAACACAGTGAAACCCCGTCTCTACTAAAAATACAAAAAATTAGCCAGGCGTGGTGGTGGGCGCCTGTAGTCCCAGCTACTCGGGAGGCTGAGGCAGGAGAATGGCGTGAACCCGGGAGGCGGAGCTTGCGGTGAGCTGAGATCACACCACTGCACTCCAGCCTGGGCGACAGAGTGCGATTCTGTCTCAAAAAATAAAATAAAATAAAATAAAAATAAAAAAAGATGTGTACTCAAGACTTGAGAGCTAATAAAATTAATAACATTTACTGCTCTGTGAAAAACATTCTTAAGTGGCATTGGTGCTTTGTTACTGCCTGTGTCTGGCAGTGAAGAATACAGTGACTAATAGTAATTTGTTGCCATTGCCTTGATTTATGCTAAACAATTTTACCCACCACCGTTTTGGCAATGTGGGTGCAAACATCTCACGGTGGAAAAGGCAAATAACATATCATTATTATTATGAAAATCGTTTTGACCTTATGGATCCCCTGAAATGTCTCAGAGGCTCCCCAAAACTCCAGACCACACTGAAATTTGCTCTTCTGAAGTTTGAAATCTGAAACTTGGCTTATTTTCTGCCTGAAATACCCATCTGAACTTCTCTTCCAATGAAAATCAAACCCTTCTCTCTGATCCTGTTTGAACTACACCATACCTATCATCCACGTTTCACACCCTTCCTCCCTCCTGGGCCAGGGCTGGAGTTGACAGCAAAGAGCTGTTCAGGAAGCTGTGTACAGTGAGGAGGAAGCAGGTGGAAATGGCTCAGATGGAGTCCTCATGAGGGTTTGTGCAGAGGCACAGGTACTTAGGTATGTGTTTCTGGGGCCCATAAACTGAAAGCAGAAAACTTAGATTTGGAAAAGTAAAGTTCAAAGGGGACGGGAGCGAGATTGCAACCAGAAGACAGAGCCAAGGGTCCGGCCGAGTACACATCTTTTTAATATTCAGTATGACGAATAAAGCACTGGTGCTGCTTAGTACAATGGTTGTCTCAAGGTAAACTTCTCATGTGCTTGTTTCAGTTGTGAGCTCAATTAGCCTCTTTCTCATGAAATGAATGCCGTTTTTACTTGAAAGAATGACTGAGAGCCAGGCTATGGATATTCAAACAGGTATTTTTCAGACACTTCTTGAAAATAAGTGAAGCAAACCTGTTAATTACAAGGGAAGCAATGACAATATTTGTTGCCAATGATAAAAATCAAGTTTTCAATTAAAATTAGAATTTTGAAGATCTTGTAACAGCCACAATTGAGCCTAGCGGTTCTCCATATTTGAAGACTTACATGATGAGGCCTGTGGTGATATTAAAAAATGTGAATTTTTGGTACTGGATAATGAAATGTGTCAACATTTGAAATATCTGTGTGGCTCAGTGGACCAATATTTTCCAAATGACCAATGCATGATGTTACAAAGTAATGCATGGTGTAAGATTCATTCAAAGTTCAAGATAGATGGATGATTTTAATACAATGAAGTACAAAAATGTTTGTTGATATAATTTCAGGTTCCTCATTTAATAAAGATGATTGTATCAAAGGAGAATACCCATAATTATCTTTTTAAAATATTACTAAAACATTCTCCCTTTTCTAACTTCATATCTGTGTGAGGCTCAATTTTCTTCATGTTTTTAACCAAAATGACATATTACAACAGAACAGAATAAATGCTGAAGCAGATAGAAGGATCTAGCCATCTCCTATTAAGCTAGACGTTAAAGAGATTTGCAAAGGTGGATGACAATGTCACTCTTCTAACTAGTTTCTTTTTAGAATATAGTTATCTTTTATTTAAAAACATGTTAGCATGAGATGACCTTATTATGATTTTTAAATGAATGCTTTTATGATTTCTGCTTTAATTTCTAATATAGTGAATATTAATAAATATAACCTATATAATGAAAATATCCTTAAATGTGTAAAGTCATCCTGAGAACAACAAGTTTGAGAATCACTAGCCTGGGAGATAGCCCAAGTCTCTGGAATATAAGGCTAAAGAAAGTTTTAGAGGAGATGAGGTTGGAAGGGAAATTTGTTGTTGTTTCTTTGGCCTTATTTTGTTTCTTTACTTTCTCTTTTTTCTTACATCCCTGGATACTGAAATGAAAAGATATAATGAGACAGTATCCCTATAGCAGTTTGCTGGAAGTCAACACCCGAGACAGGGATTCAGCGACTGTCCCCTGATCCCGTTCAACCCTCTGATGGGGAACCCGATGGTCAGGTCACTGCAATGGCCTTCTGTTTGGCCTGTGGCTTCAACCCATAGTAATATCTCCTCCTTGCTTTAGTACAACCCAAAAGACATCTACTTTCTTTTAACTCTGATATAGACTAAATTGTATTCCCCTAAAATTCACATGTTAAAGTTTAACCTCCACAGGCTGTATTTGGAGACAGAAACTTTGAAGAGGTGCTTAAGTTAAAAAGAGACCATTAGGGTAGGTCCCAATCCAATCTGACTGGTGTCCTTATAAGAAGAGGAAATTTGGGCCGGGCGTGGTGGCTTACACCTGTAATCCCAGCACTTTGGGACGCCGAGGTGGGCAGATCATGAGGTCAGGAGATCGAGACCATCCTGGCTAACACGGTGAAACCCTGTCTCTACTAAAAATACAAAAAATTAGCTGGGCATGGTGGCGGGTGCCTGTAGTCCCAGCTACTCGGTGGGGCTGAGGCAGGAGAATGGCGTGAACCCAGGAGGCAGAGCTTGCAGTGAGCCAAGATCACGCCACTGCACTCCGGCCTGGGTGAAAGAGGGAGACTCCGTCTCAAAAAAAAAAAAAAAAAAAAAAAAAGAGGAAATTCGGACACAGGAGGCACTAGGAAATAACTCAGAGGGATGGTTATATGAAGAGGCCACAAGCTGGTGGCCATCTGCAAGCCAAGGAGAGAGGCCTTCAGAGAAGCCAACCCTGCCA
Source organism: Homo sapiens (assembly GCF_000001405.40). Classification (NCBI taxonomy): domain Eukaryota; kingdom Metazoa; phylum Chordata; class Mammalia; order Primates; family Hominidae; genus Homo; species Homo sapiens. The sequence goes on from NC_000017.11 coordinate 5,985,833, forward strand.
GCATCTTGATTTTGGACTTCCAGCCTCCAGAACTGTGAGAAAATAAATTCCTGTTATTTAAACCACCCCATCTGTGGCATTTTGTTATGGCAGCCCTAGCATACGGATACACTCACATTCTCGTGACAGCAACTTTGTTTAGAGCAGGTACCCCCACTACTCAGTATACTCAAGGATCAAAGAAGGTAAGTGCCAGGCTTGTGATTTCACAACTAGTCCATGGAAAACCCAGGTCTCAAACGTACAGCCTGTCACTCTGAGTATTTTTTTTCCCCACTGGACCACATGTGGTCTTTGACTCTGTTCTCAGACTGGGCACTCCTGGGTTCTCCTCACTGCAGCTGACGTTCAGGATGAAACTGAGTGTTGAGCCCCACTCAAGCTTGTCTCATGCAGTTCCCAGTCAAAATCTGCTAGATTCCATGAATTATCTTTTGATGCCTATCTGCATTCCTTAATAGGGTAGCCAGTAGCTACACGTGGTTACTGAGTACTTGAAAATGGCTAATTAGAATTCAGATGTACTGAAAATATAACATAGTCATTATATTTTAAAGATTTAGTTAGAAAATGGAATGCAAAACATCTCATTGATATTTATATTGATTCCATGTTGAAAAGATGATATTTTGGGTATATTGGGGTAAATAAACTATATTATTAAAATTAATTTCATCTGTTTCTTTCTGATTTTTTAGATGTAGCAATGACAATTGCAAAAAAAAAAAAACATTGATAAGTGAGACCTAATTAAACCAAAGAACTTCTGCACAGCAAAAGAAACTATTAACAGATTAAACAGACAACCTACAGAGTGGGAGAAAATATTCACAACTATGTACCTGAGAAAGGACTAATACCAGAATCTATAAGGAACTTAAACAAATCAACAAGAAAAAACAAATAACCTCATTAAAAAGTGGGCACAGGACAAGAACAGACACTTCTGAAAGACAAACGAGTGACTAACAAATATATGAAACAATGCCTAACATCACTAATCATTCGAGAAATGCAAATCAAAACCACAATGAGATACCATCACACCAGGCAGAATGGCTGTTATAAAAAGTCAAAAAATAACAGATGTTGGGGAGGTTGCACAGAAAAGGGAATACTTATACACTGTTGGTGGGAATATAAATTAGTTCAGCCACTGTGGAGAGCAGTTTGGAAATTTCTCAAAGAATTTTTAAAAAAGCTACCATTGGACCCAGCATTCCCATTACTAGGTACACTCAAAGGAAAATAAATTGTTCTACTAAAGGGACACACGTACTGGCATGTTCATCACAGTGCTATTCACAATAGCAAAGACATGGAATCAACTTAAGTCTCCATCAATGGTGAATTATACACCATGGAATACTATGCAGCCATAAAAAGAAATGAGTTCATGTCCTTTGCAGGGACATGGATGAAGCTGGAAACCATCATCTTCAGCAAACTAACACAAGAATAGACGACCAAACACCACATGTTCTCACTCATAAGTGGGAGTTGAACAATGGGAACACTTGGACACAGGGAGGGGAACATCACACACTGGGGCCTGTTGGGGTTTGGCGGGGCAAGGGGAGGGAAAGCATTAGGACAAATACCTAATGCATGTGGGGCTTAAAACCTAGATGATGCGTTGATAGGTGCAGCAAACCACCATAGCACATGTATACCTATGTAGCAAACCTGCACATTCTGCACATGTATTCCAGAACTTAAAGTAAAATAAAATAAAATAAAATGTGTTACATATACACCATGGAATAATACTACACATCCATAAAAAAAGAACAAAATCATATCCTTTGCAGCAACATGGATGCAGCTGGAGGCCATTATCCTAAGTGAATTAAAGCAGAAACAGAAAATCAAATACCGTGTGTTCTCACTTATCAGTGGGAGCTAAACACTGGGTACACGTGGCCATAAAGATGGGAACGATAGACACTGGGGGATCCAGAAGGCAGGAGGGAGGGATGAGGGGCAAGTGTTGTCTATGTGGTTTGGATGTTTTGTTCCCTCAAAATCTCATGTTGAAATGTGACCTCCAATGTTGGAGGTGGGGCCCAGTGGGAGATGTTTGGGTCATGGGGATGGATCCTTCATGAATGGCTTGGTGCCATCCTCCAATAATGGGCTCATGTGAGATCTGGTTGTTTTAAAAGAGTCTGGGAAGTCTCTCCTCTCTCTTTTACTCCCTCTCGGCCATGTAGCATGCCAGCTCCCCCTTTGCCTTCTGTCACGATTGGAAATTTCTGGAGGCCTCAACCAGAAGTAGATGCTTGGACTTTACTCTTTGTACAGCCTACAGAACTGTGCGCTACATAATCTCTTTTCTTTATAAACTACGCAATCTCAGGTATTCCTTTATATCAATGCAACACAGACTAACACAAGTTGAAAAGCTACCCTTTGGATATTATGTTCACTATTTTGGTGTTGGAATCAGTAGAAGCCCAGACCTCAGAATCATGTAGTATATCCATGAAACTAACCTGCACATGTACCCCCAAATCTAAAAAAAAGTGCTTACTGAAACATAAACGTACGATAAAATAAACATGGCTATGAGTAAATTTACAATTACATATGTCGTATGTAATTTTACATTTACATATGTTGTACGTAATGGTAAATTTACTCATAGCTATGTTTCTTTTATTGTATATCGGACAATAAAATATTCCTATCGGGCAGCACTGATGTACATTTTGCTTCTCTTACAGGTCTGTAAGGTTAACAGTGGTAGAAATCTTGCCTTTTCTTTATCTTAAATCCACTACCACACTGGTACCTAGAACACAGAGCAGGTTTGCAGAGGTTCCTTTTTAGTTCACAACTGTAAATGTGCTTGAAATGATAAAATATTAGTACAAACAGCAAGTCATCAAGGGCCTGCTTACTCCTACCATGACCCAATTTTGCTAAAGGGAACTGTCAGCAAGGACTAAAGTGTTCAAACATCCTGGTGAAGCTAGAGTTAAATCTTTTTTTTTTTTTTAAGACAGAGTCTTGCTCTGTTGCCCAGGCTGGAATGCAGTGGCAGGATCTCGGCTCACTGCAAGCTCCATCTCCTGGGTTCAAGCCATTCTCCTCCCTCAGCCTCCCAAGTAGCTGGGACTACAGGCACCTGCCACTACAACCGGCTAATTTTTTTTGTTTTGTTTTGTATTTTTAGTAGAGATGGGGTTTCACCGTGTTAGCCGGGATGGTCTCGATCTCCTGACCTCGTGATCCGCCCACCTCGGCCTCCCAAAGTGCTGGGATTACAGGCGTCAGCCACCGTGCCTGGCAGAGTTAAATCTTGAAATATAACATTGTATGAGTAGAGAATTATTGTCCAGTGGGAATTAAAGATTAAACAAAGGCTTGGAGGTAGGAATGGCCAGGGAAGGTCTAAGGGACTGAGTTTTGTCCAAGACAGTGGTCCTCAAAATATGATTTCTGCACTAACAGCCAATATTTTGTGGGAATTTGTTTGAAATGCACATTCTTGGATCCTACCACAGACCTACTGAATCAGAAACTCTGGAGGTACAGCCCAGCGACTCACATATTAACAAGGTCTCCAGGAGATTCTAAAGCACACTGATGTTTGAGACCTACTAGGGTACAGAGTTTGGATCATCCATAAGGCAGTGAGGAGCTAATGATGGGCTTTTAATAAAACTGTGATATAATGAGATCATAGGTGGGGAAGATGACTCCTGAGAACCAGATGGGAGCCTGGCCTCCACATCTGGTCTGATGTCTCCACCCATCTGAGTCCCAAAGACATCAGTCAAAGATTGGTCGAGTACCTGGAGACATATAGCACCTTTTCTAATAAATCCCAACTGTGGAAGAAGTATGGCTTTCCTAAAGTATCTAAAAGGCCTTCTTTAAAACCCAGCACAGGTGTGTGATGTTCCCCTGTGCTGGTAAATGACGAATTAATGGGTGCAGCACACCAACGTGGCACATGTATACATATTTAACAAACCTGCACTTTGTGCACATGTACCCTAGAACTTAAAGTATTAAAAAAAAAAATCCCAGCACAGATCCTCTGCTTGGTTCTGCACCAGAAATAGGAATCAGGCTGTGTTTCTTTGCAGTGAGACAGCACAGAAAAGCCTCCCCGGGATGTCTGGCAGCTCCTACTTGGTTCCACTGGAAAGAAAATAAGAGGTCATTATTCACAAACAAGGTAGGTGAACGTGTGTCTTTGAAAGATGTGGGGCATTCTGGAGACTGGCCTTGCCTACAAATGACGTTCTGGTGGAAAGGCTGATTTTCGTGTCATTAATTCAAGGGAAAATCTTCCCAAATTGGTAGGTGGTTTGTAAAGACATTACCCTGCCTTCCTTATGTTTTCCTTCTTCTTCATTTCTTCCTCCCTCTTTCCATCTCTACTTCCTTCCTCCTTTTTTCCTCCCTCCTCCCTTCCTCCCCTCTTTCTCTCCTTTCTTCTTTCTCTCTATCCTCAATCCCTTCAATTGCTGGATTAACTTTTTCTGAAACACATAGCACTTAACATATGCCAGGCATTTTTTTCAAGGACTCTGTACGTATTACCTCACTTAATCTCCCTAACAACTCTATAGATAGGAAGATCACATATTTATCATCCAAACCAAGACAGCTTTGTGAGTATAAAGGGAAGAGAGGACATTAGGGCCAGCCAGGATGTATCGTCACTATAATTATAGAGACAGTTTGACATCCCTATTTTAGAGATAAGGAAACAGGCACAGAAAAGTCAAGTAACATAAAGTTAAATAGTGCATAGGTGCTAGAGCCTGGATTCAAACCCAGGCAATCTGGCTCCAGACTGTGATCTCTTTACAGTAGGTTGTCCTTCCCCTCCATCAACCACAGTCTATATAAACAAGTAGTAGGGCATTCTGGGAAAAGGGAACAGCATTAACCAAGGTATGGAGAGTCATGGAATGAGGCCAATCACCACGCCTGGAACATGGAGCATGTAGGCAGAATGGCATGAGAAGGGGCTTTTCTTTTATCTTCTTTTTTTTTTAAAAAAAAAACAGAAACAACACTTATTGTTTCAATTAATAAATGGCCATGTTTTGTAGTCATTAATCTTTTTTAAAAAATCTTTTCCTTTTGAAGATAGTAACATGACATACTAGAGAAATACTATCTTGCTCTTTTTGGGATATCAATGGGCACTCTATTAATAAATTTTCATTGAAAACAGTAGTCAAGCACAAGAGATTCTAATGTCCATTAATACTGAAATAGGATTAAACACTTAAATGTAAAGCCTAAAACAACAAAAACCCTAGAAGAAAATCTGGGAAATGCCATTCTGAACATAGGCCCTGGGAAAGAAGTCATGACAAAGACTCCGAAAGCAACTGCAGCAAAACCAAAAATTGACAAATGAGATGAAATTAAATGAAGGAGCTTCTTTCTGCATAGCATAAGAAGCTATTAATAAACAGACAACCTAGAGAATGGGAGAAAATATTTGCAAACTATGCATCTGACAAAGGCCTAATACCCAGAATCTGTAAGGACCTTAAACAAGTTAATAAGCAAAAACCAAACAACACCATTAAAAAATAGGCAAAGGACATGAACAGAAAAGGCTTTTCTGGTCATCAGATACCAGATTACAAAGGGTTTCCCTCTTTGCTAAGATGTTTGGAATGGTACCTGGCGGTGGGCGGGTAATGAGGAGCCAGGGAAGGGTATGAAGTGGGGCAGTGATATGATCAGGGAGAAGTCCACTTGGGCACCAGGTGTGGGTGAACCGGCGGCAGACAGACCAATGGGACAGGATGAGAGGGTAGAAATGGGGGAAGAGAGCGAGAAAAGAGAAAGAGAAATATGTTGGTGGTAGAATTTGGTGGGTTTTAACGTCTGGAAATGGGAAGTAAGTAAAGGGAACTTGTGGCTAATTCTCAGGCTTGGGGGACTGGGTACCATCATGAAGAGGGGGCTTGTGGAGGGGGAACATGATGAATTTGGCCTGCACATTAACAGTTTGTTTTAAATCCAGGCTTATTGAAAGCAAAAATATATACAATAGTATTTATATTTTTAGGGTGATCTTTGGCAAAAATATATACAAAAGTATTTATATTTTTGGGGTGATCTTTGGCAATGGATAAAGTTGTATAACCACTACTGTAATCAAGATACAGAACACTTTCATTACTCCAAAACATTCTATTCTGCCCCTTTGTCATCAGTATTCCATACCTCCCACAGCCCTGGCAAACACTGACCTGATTTCTGTCTCTATAGCTTTGACTTTCACAGAATGTAACATGAAATAAATAATACAGTAGTCATTGTCACATGTTTATTCTTTCACTTAGAATACAGTTTGTGATGTATTCATATCGTTTGTGTGTTGGTATTTCATTTATTTGCTGGATAGTATTTCATTACATGAATGCACTACCGTTTGCTTATTGATTCATCTGTTGAAGGACACCTTGGTTGATTCTAGTTTGAGGCCATTATGAACAAAACTGCTCTAAACACTGATATGTACATCTTTGGGTAGATGTAGTTTTCATTTCTCTTTGGTAAATACCGAGGAGTAGCCTTGCCAGGTCATATGATACATGTATATTTCGCATCATAAGGAACCACCAAACTGTATCCAAAAGTGATTGCATCGCTTTGCATTGCACCTTGCAATATACAAGAGTTCTAGTTGCTCTGCATCCTCTCTAGCACTTGCTGTTGTCAGTTGTTTTTTTTTTAATTTTGGCAATTTTAGTGGATACAGAGTGATATTTTATTTTGGTTTTAACTTGCATTTCCTTATGGTAATAACTAATGATGTTGAACATCTTTTCATGTGCTCATTTGCCATCTGTGTATCTTATTTGGTGAAATGTGTGTTTGAAACTTTTGCCCACATTTGTTTTATTTTCTTCTTACTGAGTTGTTAGAATTATTTACACATTCTGAACACAAGTCCTTTATTACATAGCTGTTCTGCAAATATCTGCTAGCACTCTGTGGCTTGTCTTTAAATTTTGGGGGAAGAGTGGGAGGGGCAAGGGATAAAAGACAATAAATAGGTGCAGTGTATACTGCTCGGGTGATGGGTGCACCAGGTTCTCACAAATCTCCACTAAAGAACTTACTCATGTAACCAAATACCACCTGTTCCCCAATGCTTAAGAAAAATAAAATAAATAAATTTAAAAAATTCTAAACAATGTCCTTCAAAGGAAGGACAGTTTTTAAGTTTTATAAATCATATTTATCAGGTTTTTTCACTTTTGGTTTGCACTTTTTGTGTCCTAAGAAATCCTTGACTAACTCAAAGTCATTAAAATTTTTTTCTATATTTTCTTCTAGAAGTTTTTAAAAGTTAGGTTTTAACTTTAGGTCTACAACCCATTTGAAATTAATTTCATATATGGTATAAGTGGAGGGTTGAGGTTAATAATTTTCCATAAAGATATCCAATACTTCCAGAATTATTTGTTGGAAAAGGCATTCTTTCCCCTTTGAATTTCCTTGGCACCTTTGTTAGAAATCAATGGACTGCACATGTGTATATCTCTGATTTTCTAATCTCTGTTACATTGGTATATACGCCCCTCCTTGTGCCAATGTGCACTGTCTTAATTACTACAATTGCATAGTAAGCCTTGAAGTCAGCTAGTGTGCATCCTCCAATGTTGCTCTTTTTAAAAATTGCTTTGGTTCTTCTAGGTCCTTTTCCACATAAATTTTTTTCACATACCTCTTGTAGTCAACTTGTTAATTTTTACAGAAGAAGCCTCCTGAAATTTTGACTGTAATTGTGATCAGTCTGGGGAAAATAAATTTCTTAAAAATATGCTGTCTTTTGATCCATGAACTTGGTATATTTCTCCACTTATTTAGGTACTCTTTATTTTCTCTCAGAAAGGTTTTGAAGGCTTCAGATTATTCTGCAACCAAACTTGATGAATTCACTTATTAATTCAGTTAACCTTTTTGGTACATTTTTGAGATTTTCTATATAGTCAATCATGCCATCTGCTAATATAGAGTTATAGTTCTTCCTTTCCAAAGGATATGCCATTTATTTCCTTTTCTTGCCTTTCATAATGATAGAACTTCCAGTATTATATTGAATGGGAGTGGTGAAAAAAGACATCCTTGTCTTATTCTCTGTCTTTGAGGAAAAGCATTTAATCTGTCAGCATTGGCTATGAAAGTTCAGTTGTCAGTTTCTTCATAGATGTCTTTTTTTATACTGTGAAAATTTCTTCTATTCCTAGATTGTGGATGGTTTAAAAATATCATATATGAATACTGAATAGTACCATCTTCTTTTTCAGCATTTATTAAGATAATCATATGCTTTTCGTTTTTCAGTCTGTTGTTATCATGTATTGCATTGGTTGAGTCTTGAATCAATCTTGAATTCCTGGAAAAATTTTCACTAGATTGTATCATATTATTATTTTCATATATTTTTGATTCAATTTGCTAATATTTAGCTAAAGATTTTTCAACGACATGCATGAAAAACATTGCCCTGTAGTTTTCTTTTCTTGTGATTTCTTTGACTGACATAATTGTTAGGGTAATGCTGGCCTCATAAAACAGATTGGAAACTCTTCCCTCCCTTTCTATTTTCTGGAAGAGACTTAAGGTTCATCTTCTCTGATTTTGTTGTTCAGGTCACTTATATCCTTTGTGGTTTTCAGTCCACATGGTCTTTGATTACCGAGAGAGTGGGGAATCTCCAAGTGTAATTGTGAGTTTGCCTATTTCTCCTTACAGTTTTATCAATTTTTGCTTTATTTGTTCTGAAGCTCTGTTGTTAAGTGCATACACATTAAGATTTTTGTTTTTTGATTATGTAATGTCTCTATCTCTGATGATATTCTTTGCTCTGGAGTCTACTTGGTTTGATATTGACATAGCCACTCCAGCTTTCTTTTAATGAGTTTTTATATTTTTTCATTCTTTTGTGTTTAACCTATCTATGATTTTACATTGGAAGTGTGTTTTTTATATAGATAGCATACTGCTGGGTCTTGATTTTTGTTAATCAAATCTGATATTTCTGTTTTTAAATTGGGCTGCTTAGGCCATTTATATTTAGTTCAGTTATTAAGCTTGCTGGATTTAATATACACATTTAAATATGTGATTTTGCTCGATTTTTTCTTTTCTCTTCTTTCACTTTTAAAAAACATCTGATTTTATTCTGAAACCATCTTATATTTAAAATTCCATTTCAGCCTGAAAACAAATATGTGGTTCCTCTTTGATGAGGAGCCGGAGCCCAGCGTGGGGGAGGAGTGAGGACGCGGAGGTTTTGTTTCTCAGGTGATGTTTCACTGACGAGGGAGCGCTGCACACGCTTATCTTCAGATAACAGGCTTCACTCTGATCCGCCTTTGATACAATCAATAACCTTTTGTAAAGATTCTTTAGGGCTTGAAATGTTCTGTGGCTGTGAATTAATGGATCAAGGCAGAAGGTGCTTTGGCACTTTCAGAAATAGTACACAGAATGGCTGGATGCTGATGAAGGAGGCAGAGGCTCACTAAGAATGATGCGTTCTAAGTTAAATATTATAGCAGGCTCAGGAGGAAAGAAGGCTGAAGGGTAAACCAGGGCTCTTCATATTAATCTTGCTGGTTGTTTGCTATTTGTTACATCTGCTTTTTTTTTTTTTTAAACCTTGTTCTAGTTTTCTGCTTTCATTTGAATCAGTGGGACATTTTTCATAACTCATTTTTATCTCCACTGTTGGTTTGCTTGTTGTACCTCTTTTTCAACTTTTTAGTGATTGCTGTAGGGTTTAAAATATATACCTTTAACTTATCACAGTCTTTCTTCATATAATATTACACTACTTCAGGTATAGTGTACAGCCTTATAGAAGCCATATATTTCCATTTCCTTACTCTCGTTTTTGGTGCCATAGCTGACTTTACTTCTACTTAGACTATAAACTTCAGATACATTGTTACTATTTTTACTTCAGGGAGACATGTATATACATATATATGTTTTTTTTTTTTTTTTGGAGACAGAGTCTCGCTCTCTCGCCAGGCTGGAGTGCAGTGGCATGATCTCGGCTGACTGCAATCTCCACCTCCCAGGTTCAGGAGATTCCCCTGCCTCAGCCTCCCGAGTAGCTGGGACCACAGGCACATGCCACCACACTTGGCTACTTTTTTGTATTTTAGTAGAGATGGAGTTTCACCATGTTGGCCAGGATGGTCTCGATCTCCTGACCTGGTGATCCACCTGCCTCGGCCTCCCAAAGTGCTGGACAATTATTTTTTAAAACAATTTAAAAATTAGTCTTAAAGTGTCTTTTATATTTACCAACATTTTTACACTTTTTGTATTTCATTTCTTTGTATAGATCCAAATTTCCTTCTGGTATTACATTCCCAAAGAATTTCCCTTAACAGTTCTTGGAGTGCAGGTCTGCTAGCAGTACTTCCTTTTGGCTTTTGTTTGAAGAATCTCTATCTTACCTTCATTTCTAAAAGATATTTTTGCTTTATATAAAATTCTAGACTGACAGCTTTTTATTTTAGTACTTTGAAAGTGTCAGTCCATTTTCTTCTAGCTTGCAACATTTCTTTCCGTAAGTCTGCTCAGTTTTTATATTTGCTTTTTGTATGTAATGTTTATTTCCTCTGACTACATTCAAGACTGTCTTCTTCTTTTTAATTTAAGTTTTTAGCAGTTTAACTATGATGCGTCTAGGTGTGTCTGTGAGAGAGAGAGAGAGTGTGTGTGTGTGCTGTAACTTATTCTGCTTGAGGTTCTCTGAAGTTGGATCTATGGTTTGCTGTATTTCATTAATTTTAGAAAATTCTTAGACACTATTTCTTCAAATATTTGCTCCCATTTTCTCTTTCTCTTTTCCTTCTTGGTTCCAATTACATATATGCTAGACTGTTTTATATTGTCTCACAGCTCTTGAACGTTCTCTTTGTTTTTCACTTTGAGTTTTAATTTGGATAATTTTCACCGACATATTCGGGTTCAACAATTCTCCTTCAGTTGAGTCTACTCTACTAATAAGCATGTCAGAGAAATTCTTTATCCCTGACGTCGTATTTGTACATTTATAGCAATTGACTTTTCCCATTTATAAAATAGTTTTCATTTCTTTGCCAAAATTCTCCATCAGTTCCTGTATCTTTTCCACCTATCCCCCACTAGATACTTTATCATATGAATCACAGTCATTTGAAAGTCTTAGTCTGATGTTTCTGACATCAGTATCATCTCTGAGTCTGGTTCTGTTAATTGCTTTATCTACTGATAGTGCGTTGTGCGTTCCTTCTTTTGTTGCATGTCTCACAGCTTGATACTGAATGTCTGACCTTGTGTGTAGAGGAACAGTAGGGGCTGAGGTCAGTGATTTTTATCCCAGGAGTGGGCATACTTCTTCTTTGGTCAGATTCTTAGGGTAGAGGCTGTGTTAATCTGATGAAGGGTTGAGCTGGGCTAAGGTTTTCTGTTGCTATCCCTTCTTTCCGTGTACCACATGCTTTACATTCCTCCAGAGGAGATCTGCTGTTATTTTGTGCTTAGTATTGGGCCTGCCATACCAGGGAGTTTTTCTTGGTTGTCCTGCTTCACCCTCAGATTTTAGCAGCCTCTGCACACCTGCAACACTGAGGGAGTCTTTCTCCATCCTCCATCAGAAGATCGCCGTTGCTGTGCCCAGGGTGAGGCTCGTGATGGCATGAGGGCTCTTCTCACTTTTTGTTGATCTTCAGTCTTGGGAAGACCTTGTGCCTCTGGGCCTCAGGGATGGGACTTTATTGACAGTCTTGGTTCTCTCTCCATGGCAGTCTGACACTCCTTGTGTCTATGGTTGGCACAGGACCCTTTCTTCTCCCAGAATGAGTAAACCTATGCTTTGTGTAAGTGCAAGATTATGGACCTGATACTGTTTCCTCCCCTTCCCCAAGGGCAGCAGGCTTTTGTTTCTGCTCCTCCCCCAGAATCAGATGGTTTGGCTCTTACCTCTTCCCAAAAAAGTAGAGTGTCTTTGCTTAGGCCCTGGGAGGAAGGGGGTTTTCTCTCTGTCATCCCAGTAGCTCAAGGCTTTTGCTTTGGGAAAGAAAGTTCTGAGAAAATGAGAAAGGCTTCGTTCCTGTGACCCAGCTGCAGCTGACCAGCACCTGCATGCTGGTGCCCCCGACTTGAGCCTTCTTCAATCTCCTGCCCTGTGTCTAGTCTTTCCCATGATCACACAGCTGAGACTTCTGGAAAAGAGCTTGCAAGTGAGTGCAAACTTCCCTTGCTTCTGGGGCTCTCAATTTTCTGTACGTTCATGCTAGCCTACACTCATTCTTCAAGGATTCATTCGCGTTTTAGCTGATTTCTTCTTACCTACTTTTATGGTGGCCACATTTTCTTCCAATGTTTTGCCAAAGGTGAAACATTTCATATGACCCATTGCTCCTTAAAAGGATTTGCCACTCTTCAGAATTCAGTTCACTTGGCTGCCTTCTGAGCTCAGCTCTCTAATGGGCTCAAAAAACGTATAATTTTGTAGATTACCTGGATTTCTTTCTCATAGTGAGGATGGGAATGACATTTCTCGGGGGATTTCCGTGTCCAAAGTGGAAGTGGAAGTGGAAGTGGAAGTCCCTAAACACGTGAAGTCTGAAGTGATTTGAGGACATTCAAGCGAACACATGCAGGGACAGTTCAATGTATCTGTCAGGAAAGCAAAACAGTGGTTGAAACTTGTTCCAGTTTATCTATCACTACATAACAAACTACCCCAAAACATAGTAGCCCACAACAATGTTTATTTCACTCATAAATCTGCAGTTTAGACACAGTTTGGTGAGAAAGCCTGGTCTGTGCTCTATGTAGCATCAGCTGATTAGGCTCAACTGAGGGCTACAAGATCCACTTCCAATACGGTGGACTCACTCACAGAGGCAGCTGGGATTGACACGTTGGCCTTGGCAATTGGCTGGGATCTCAGCTAGGTCTGAGTGCTGGTGGGAGGGGCCTCAGTTCCTTTCCATGTGAGCCTTTTCTCACGGGTCTCATCACAGAATATCTGTGCCTGCTCACAACATGGTGATGAGCTCTGAGATTGAGCATCCCAGGAGACTCACATGGATGCTGAAGTGTCTCCTATGACCTACCCTTGGAAGCCACATAGCAACAAACCCTCCCAGATTTAAGGGAAGGGAACATGGACCCCCATCTCTGAGTGGAAAGACTGTCAAAATCAGATTATAAGAAGAGCATCCTTTGAGAGGCCAATGTGGGCAGATTGCTTGAGCTCAGGAGTTCAAGAACAGCCTGGGCAACATGAAGAAACCCCCTCTCTACAAAAAAAAAAAAAAAAATTCAGCTGGGCATGGTGGCTTATGCCTGTAATCCCAGCACTTTGGGAGGCCGAGGTGAGTGGATCACCTGATGTCAGCAGTTCGAGACCAGCCTGGCTAACATGGTGAAAACCCTTCTCTACTAAAAATACAAAAATTAGCTGGGCATGATGGTGGTCACCTGTAATCCCAGCTACTCGAGAGGCTGAGGGGGAAGAACCTGGGAGGTGGAGGGTGCGGTGAGCTGAGATCGCACCATTGCACTTTAGTCTGGGCAACAAGAGCAAAACTCCGTCTCAAAAAAAAAAACAAAACTATCTTTCTATCTGTCTATCTATCTATCTATCTATCTATCTATCTATCTATCTATCATCTATCTACCTATCTATCTATAAATTAGCTGAGTGTGGTGGTAGGCATGCCTGTGGTCCCAGCTGCTTGGGAGACTAAGATGGGAGGATCATCTGAGCCCAGGGAGGTCAAGGCTGCAGTGAGCTGTGTTTGTGCCACTGCACTCCAGCCTGGATGATGAAGTGGGACCCAGTCTCAAAAAAGAAAAAAAAAAGAAGAAAGAAAAAAGAAGAGGAGAAGAGCATGTGGGATTGGAGATATTGATAGACTATTTTTGGAAAATGTAATCTGCTTCACAACTCAGATTTAGAAGTAGGCTAGTGAGGACATTGGCTGGATATTAGGAAATTGACTGGGAAATCTTAGAATCTTCTTTGGTTCACATGGGAGGAGGCTGGAGATAAAATGAAGCAGATTCCAAGCCATCAGTCCTCTGCTTTCATAAAGGTGAGTTTGAACCCCAAAATGTTGAAAGAAATGTGAGAAGGTGATAGAGGACGCTGGTGCCAGAGGTTGAGTGCATGAGTTGGAATTCCAACCTCACTGCTTCTTGCCTGAGTGACTTTGGACAATTAAATAACCTCTTTGGCCTCATTTTTTCCATCAGTAAAACGTGGACAGTAGTTCCCTCTTCTTAAAAGTGTCGTAAACACCAAATGAGATGATTCATATGAAAGGTCATAGCATCGTGCCTGGCATCTAGTAAAAGCATAATATATATTAATCTTTTTTTTTTTTTTTTTTGAGACAGTGTCTCACTCTGTTGTCTAGGCTGGAGTGCAGTGGCACGACTTTGGCTCACCGCAACCTCCGCCTCCTGGGTTCAAGTGATTCTCCTGCCTCAGCCTCCCGAGTAGCTGGGATTACAGGCATGCACCACTACCATCTGGCTAGTTTTTGTATTTTTAGTAGAGACGGGGTTTATCCATGTTGGTCAGGCTGGTCTCGAACTCCTGACCTCAAGTGATCCACCCGCTTCTACCTCCCAAAGTGCTGGGATTACAGGCGTGAGCCTAGTATGCCAGAACAGAGAGGAATCTTGATTCCAAGGGGCTGTGATGAACTAATCCTGGCGACTTTAGGAACTTCCAACTAAAATTTCACAATTTTGAGCTTTAGATAAAAATATATGAGAACATGTTTCTTGGCTAATGATAATAGAACTTGGCATTTTCTGAGCATCTTCTATGTTGCAGCTTTGAAGTTTATCCTCTCACTGATAGTTACAACAACTCAGATGGAAAAAACTTAAAGTATAATAAAAAAAAAAAAAAGAAAAAAATGGATGCTCAGGGAACTTAAGAAATGTGTCCACAGACCCACAGCCAGGAAACAGTGGAGCAGGAACTCAAGATGATCTGACTTTGTTTGGCAAACTTTTTCCTTGACCTAGAGAGGGACTGCTGGGAAGAACAAAGGCGAGACAACCCTGGTGCTTTCCCCTAGAGATTTCCCCCGTCATTAATTATCTATTAAAATGCTTCAGGTTTGCAGCTTCCACTAAGAAATGCAAGAGTATTCCAAGTTATCACGTTTATTAAAAATGATCAAAAGTATCCAGCAATGTTTAATGAGATTCTTTGGAGACAATTACCAAGGCACTGAAAGCTGGGAATAATTTATTACATGCTAATGATAAAAGTTGAAACTGCCTTAATAAAAAGTTTATCACTTCCAGACTTAAAATGTTGGACTCTGACCCTTTTCTTTTCTTGCTATGAGCTTCTTCTTTTTTTTTTTTTTTTTTTTTTTTAGACGGAGTCTCGCTCTGTCACCCAGCAGGCTGGAGTGCAATGGTGCAATCTTGGCTCACTGCAACCTCTTCCTCCCAGGTTCAAGTGATTCTCCTGCCTCAGCCTCCCAAAGTGTTGGGATTACAGGCATGAGCCACCACACCCGACCGCTGTGAGCTTCTTTTAAAAGCAGAAAAGATTGTGGCCTCACATTTTAGGATGGAGTACAGTGGAGAAAATAGTAACTGAGGGGTATTTATGATTTCCTGAAAGGTCTCAGTTTTTTCTACAGAGCATGAAGATGGCCTGGTAATTCTCTCATGGCTCTTGGGATCTCAGTCACTCACTTGTCATGTAGTTTTGTCCTGTCCTCTCTGATTGTCCCATGGGTGCAGGGAGCAGCAGAGGGCTGTGGGTGGAGCATGGGGCTCGAGATCAGGAGACTCGGGTTAGAATCCCAGCTGGGCCAGAAAACCCTTAGGAGCCACGGGTTCCTGTTCCCATCCATCTTCTCCCATAGTGGCCATGAGGACCAATCCTGTGAACAAATGGGCACCAGCGTGCTCCTGTAACCTGGGATATGCTATTAAGAAGCATCCCAAGGCTGGGCATGGTGGCTCACGCCTGTAATCCCAGCACTTTGGGAGGCTGAGGCGGGTGGATCACCTGAGGTCGGGAGTTTGAGACCAGCTTGACCAACATAGAGAAACCCTGTCTCTACTAAAAATACACAAAATTAGCTGGGCGTGGTGGTGCATGCCTGTAATCCCAGCTACTCGGGAGGCTGAGGCAGGAGAATCGCTTGAACCTGGGAGGCGGAGGTTGCAGTGAGCCGAGATTGCGCCATTGCACTCCAGCCTGGGCAACAAGAGTGAAACTCCGTCTCAAACAAAACAAAACAAAACAAAACAAAGAAAGAGAAGCATCCCAGAGTGCCGGGCGTCTTTTTAGGGTGGGGAGGGGCAGACAGTCAGGAAGAGGCTGGTGCTCATAGACCGTGACCCTGGGCCTGCTTGCTCTTTGCCATTCCACATACACTTGGGTTTTTCATTTTCATGGGACTGGGCATTCAGGCCCCGTGTCTAGCCAAAGGCCTGAAGGGTGGTTGTCCTTGAAGTGGTAATTGCTTTAATGGCAAAGGGGTTTGCAGTGTACTTTGTAAAAGCCTCGGCCACAGGAGCGTGGAGGCTGCATGTGACACACACCATTCAGGCCTCTGGCTCTGCCATAAACCACTCCAGCTCCAGGAGTGTAGTAGCGGGGAGCAGGCAGGGGTGCCCAGTCCCAAATGCCATATCAAGATGCACACCTGGAGCTGAGCCCCGGCTGGGCTGCACTCACTGCGTGATCCTGAGTAGGTCACTTGTCTTCCAGGAACCCATCTTCTCATCTGTAAGTTAGCCCTCACATCAAAATCCCAAGAAGATACAAAGGCGGAAAAGTAATCATGAGTGTGAAAGTGTCTCGTAAGGTAGAAAACACTGTCCAGACTTAAGGAGTGGCTGTCAAGTCATTGCCTGACCCACGTAGGCCATTGCCAGGTCGTAGAGAGCACCTGTTGGATCGTCTTGGCCACAGTGGATGAGCCCCTGATTCAACCTGTACCGGTCATGGGGCTTCCCATGGTGTCCACTGCCCTGGTCAGTGTGCTTAGCTCAAGGTTGGGCACTAAAGGTAGGCTGTTTTCCTGGGAATTTGGAAGACATCCTATCCTTGCTCTGGCCATCTCTTTAAAAAAGCAGAATTCAACCCAGCAGTGAGAGAGACCTGTGTTCTGTCTTGGGGTCTGGGGAGCAGAGAAACCAGGCATCTGTGAGAGAGAAAAATTAGGACGGACAGAGAGGAGCACAGAGGAGGGGTGCAGGGAGAGTCCAGGGGGCTTCATTCCTCCTCCAGCTATTTATGTCTTCAGGCCCAGGTGCTTCCTACCTATGGGTTCTCCAGGTTATCCTTGTGTCCTCTCCTTGTATAAACTCCCTCTTTACTCAGGCTGCAGAGGGTCTTCGTTTATTTCAAGGAAAAGTCCTTCTAACTTCTACAGGGCCAAAGCATGCATGTATCATATTAATGTCAATCCTGTGCCAGACCCTTTGTAAAATTAAGTACTTCAAACTTAAAATAATTCAAACTTAAGGCTGTTGGAACATTCCGTTATTCTGAGCCTTGAGAGGAATGTGGCTATGCAGTCTGAGTCATGCAGCAGGCAGCTGCAACTTCTGCCTTTTTGTTTGTTTGTTTTTGAGATGGAGTTTCACTCTTGTTGCCCAGGCTGGAGTGCAATGGCACAATCTCGGCTCACCGCAACCTCCGCCTCCTGGGTTCAAGTGATTCTCTTGCCTCCCAAGTAGCTGGGATTGCAGGCATATGCCACCACGCCCAGCTAATTTTGTATTTTTAGTAGAGATGGGGTTTCTCCATGTTGGTCAGGCTGGTCTCGAATTCCCAACCTCAGGTGATCCACCCGCCTTGGCCTCCCGAAGTGCTGGGATTACAGGTGTGAGCCACCATGTCCGACTTTTTCTTTTTCCTGTAAATAATTAAGACCAAATGGTGCCAGAGATGAAACCATCTCAGATAACTGCCCTTCCTCACGGAGTAATAGTCTTCCTTGGAACGTATTAATAGCAATCTGTAGCGAATCAAATTGCTGTAATGTGTGTACTGCTCTTGTATGGAAATTGCAGTAATTCTGCTAACATCTCTCTGACTCTGCCTATATCAGTAAAACCTTAACTTTTCCACTTTGGAACTCTGACTTCATTCGTTTGAAGTCAGTGTCTTCTGGGCAGCCATCTTCCAGCTTTGTGCTGAAATAAACTCCATACTTAATCATATTTTCTGAATCTCATTATTTAATGTTGACAGCTCTTAAGCGTCTTTAAACTTTTCCATGGATGTTAAATATACGTGCATTAAAGTATGTAAAGTGTATCTCAGGTACACAGCTGGTTAGATTTTGTGTACGCCCATGAAACCACTGGTCAGATCAAGACACAAACATTTTTAGCCTCCAGAAGGTACTTTTCTACCACTTTCTGATCAGTTACAAAATCTCTTCCTTGTTCAATTCCCACCTATGAGTGAGAACATGCAGAACACAGGGACACAGGAAGGGGAGCATCACACACCAGGGCCTGTTGTGGGATGGGGGGAGGGGGGAGGGATAGCATTAGGAGATTCACCTAATGTTAAATGACGAGTTACTGGGTGCAGCACACCAACATGGCACATGTATACATATGTAACTAACCTGCACTTTGTGCACATGTACCCTAAAACTTAAAGTATAATAAAAAAAAAGAAAATGAAATGAATTAAGTTTTAAAAACACAGTAGGCTTTCAATAAATGGTAGCTGTATTTCTTTGGTAGGAAAAAAAAAATCTCTTTCTTGAGGTAACCACTATTCTGACTTATCTAAACAGACATTTTGGGTATGGTTATACATTATCTCACTGGTTCTTTTATATTAAAAAAGCTAATTATAAAATGTTTCAAACATTCAGAAAAGCACAGAAGATAATATGATACCTATGAATCGAATTTCCAGATTTAATAGAATTAAATATTGTTCATATTTGCTTTTCTTTCTTGTCTTGCATATCATATGTCTAGGTGTGGATTTACTTTTTTTAAAAAGAAGTTTTGTTAGTTTCAGATTGAAGAAGTCTGAGGATTCATGTCTTTCATCCGTTATGGAACATTCCAACACATTCTCTCTTCTGTGTTTGTTTATTTTCCCTAAC
Source organism: Homo sapiens (assembly GCF_000001405.40). Classification (NCBI taxonomy): domain Eukaryota; kingdom Metazoa; phylum Chordata; class Mammalia; order Primates; family Hominidae; genus Homo; species Homo sapiens. Next base: position 6,004,969 of record NC_000017.11, read on the forward strand.
GTTTGTTGAGAACTATAGCACACATATAGAAAGGTCCACAAAAGAAAGAAGTATAGCTCCATATTTTATTGATAATGTATCACAAATTTATCACCCATGAAACTGCTTCCAGGTCGAGAAATAGAGCATTGCCAGCATTCCCAGAAACTGCCCCAAGCTCCTATCCCATCAAAATTAATCATCATTTTTTAATGGCAGTTATTCCCTGGATTTTCTTTATAATTTTACCACTGAAGGATGCATTGCTAATGCCAAGGTTTATTTTTTTCTGCTTGCACATGTCTTTGTTTTTGGTTTCCTGAGCAACTTTTTATCCAACGATCTGTCATTCTTTAAGATCAATTAACCCAGGATCATTAATATCTTTTTTTTTTAGTAAAACTTTCTTTCTGCACTGTTAATATTGTAGTTAATTTATTTAGGGATATGCAGTTTTTAAAAGTAAGATTTTTAACACTGCCACCGACAGTGTAAAAGCATTCTTATTTCTCCACAGCCTCACCAGCATCTGTTGTTTCCTGACTTTTCAATAATTGCCATTCTAAGTGGCTTGAGATGGTATCTCGTTGTGGTTTTGATTTGCATTTCTCTAATGACCAGTGATGATGAGCTTTTTTTCATATGTTTTTTGGCTGCATAAATGTCTTCTTTTGAGAAGTGTCTGTTCATATCCTCCGCCCACTTTTTGTTGGGTTTTTTTTTTTCTTGTGAATTTGTTTAAGTTCCTTATAGATTCTGGATATTAGACCTTCGTCAGATAGGTAGATTGCAAAAATTTTCTCCCATTCTGTAGGTTGCCACATACCAGGGCCTGTCAGGGAGTAGGGGGCCAAGAGGAGGGAGAGAGCATTAGGACAAATACCTAATGCATGTGGGGCTTAAAACCCAGATGACAGATTGATAGGTGCAGCAAACCACCACGGCACGTGTATACCTATGTAACAAACCTGCACATTCTGCACATGTATCCCAGAACTTAAAGTAAAATAAGAAAATATAAAGTAAGCTTTTTATTCTAGAATAGTTTTGTTATTTACAGAGCAAGTGCAAAGATAGTACGGAGAGTTCCTGTAGATCCCCACACTCCATTTCTGTTACTGTTAACACCTTACCTGATGGTACATTTGTCACAATGCGTAAATCAATATTGATTGACACATGATTATTCACTACATTTCAAGTATCATTCTCATTGAATCACGTCAAGGATGCAGACTCTCAACACAACATATCGCTGTTGATGTCAACCTTGATCACTGGCTTCAGGCAGTGTTTGTCAGGTTTTTCTGCCGTAAAGTTACCCTTTTTCCCCCGTCTCTTCCAGTATTGTACTCTTTGGAATGCAGTCACCATATGATGGAGTGGGGAGTTGTGTTCCACTTCCTTGAGGGTGGAGTACCTACGTAAATTATTTAAAATTTTTCTCCACAAGACATTTATCTCTTCTCTACCATTTATTTACTTATTTAATACTTTCTTTATATCAGGATGAACTCGTGAATATTTATTGTATGCTTTGGGTTTTAATCCAATGCTACTTTCTTTATTTTGTGGCTCAAATTGTTCTAGCCATGGCCATTGGGGGTTCTTGCAGGTGACTCCTCTGTCCTTTCAACACCGTCCCGTGTGTGTGTGTGTGTGTGTGTGTGTGTTTTGAACACCCCTTTACTTTCTGGCACTATAACATGCTCCAGGCTCATTTTGTATATTTCCTGCCCTAGTCCTAGAGTCAGCCATTTCTCCAAGGGGTCCTGTTTCTATTATCTGAGAATAGTCATAGAATCCAAGGTCTGGGTACTAGGTGTGTTTGTTGCTATTGGGATACAGTTGCTATTGGGACCTCTCAAACCAACAGAGCAATGCAATATATTTATATATATTAACCCATGTCCATACACATGCCTATAACTATTTCTATTTGTAAACTTCTGTGTCTATTTCAGCTAAACATGCATTCATACTGATGTGTGCAATGCCAATTCTTACAGACTTCGCTCAAGCAATCCTCCACCCCAGGAGTTCGAGGCTGCAGTGAGCTACGATAACACCTTTGCACTCCAGCCTGGGTGACAGAGCACTGTCTCTATAAAAACAAAACAAAACAAAAACAAAAACAAAAAACTTTGTATACCTGAAGATTCACTCTTTGTGCTGTAATATTCTATGGGGTTTTTTTCATGCACCTTTCTGGCTCCTCCCTTTGCTTGTCTGTGAGCTCGCACTCACGGTGAGAAACCTGCCCTCGCCGTCCATTTACTTAATTGTTTAAGTTCCATATACGTGTGTCGTGGTTCAGAACTGATAACCCACACCTCTATGGGAAACAACTTTATCAAATAGAGCGCTCATGCAGAGTGCTTTCTTTTGCCTTTGGTCTTACAGATGCCATTCATTTCCGAGGTTACTTCCGTCAGCACCATTTCCTTCCATCTCCTTCAATTAGGTCCCTTCATATATTCTTAATATAATTAGTTTTTTTGGTCACCTTCTATGTTCCTTCCTGAGATCTCCTAGTGTATTTGTAATTAATTAATTTATTTTTTCAGATGGAGTCTCAATCTGTTGCCCAGGCTGGAGTGCAGTGATGCGATCTCAGCTCACTGCAACTCTGCCTCCTGGGTTCAAGCAATTCTCCTGCCTCGGCCTCCCAAGTAGCTGGGACTACAGGTGCACACCACCACGCCCAGCTAATTTTTCATATTTTTAGTAAAGACAGGGTTTCACCATGTTGGCCAGGTTGGTCTCGAACTCCTGACCTCAGGTGATCCACCATCCTCAGCCTCCCAGAGTGCTGGGATTGCAGGCGTGAGCCACCGTGCCTGGCCTCCTAGTGTGTTTTTTAAAACTTTGTATATGGACTGGGCGAAATGGTTTACGTCTACAATCCCAACACTTTAGAAGGCTGAGGCAGGAGGACTGCTTGAGGCCAGGAGTTCAAGACCAACTTGGGCAACGTAATGAAACCCCATCTCTAAAAACAATTAGGCGGCCATGGTGGCTCATGCGTGTGGTTCTAGCTACTCAGGAGGCTGAGGCAGAAGGATCCATTGAACTCATGAGTTTAAGGCTGCAGTGAGCTGTGATCATTGTACCACTGCACTCCAGTCTGGGCGACAGAGCAAGACCCTGTGGACTAAAGTGTCATATGGAATAATGATGCCGCCTTTAAAAAAATCCCTTGTATTTCAACCATTCAACTCTCCCTTGACTCATCCATCCACTGGCAACCACTGATCTTGGTTTACTGTCTCTAGCTTTGCCTTTCCCAGAATGTCATATATTTGGAATCATAAATCATACAGCCTTTTCAGACTGGCTTCTTCAGCTTAGCAATATGCATTTAAGATTCATCCATATCTTTTCATGGCTTAGTAACTGATTCCTTTTTTCAATGAAAAAGAATTCCATTGTATGTGTATATAGTAAGCCCTCTTATCTTTGAGAGATATGTTCCAAGACTTCCAGTGGGTGCCGGAAATAGCAGATAGTACTGAACCCTACATATACTATGTATTTTCCTATACATACATATATACATAAATGACACATTTATACATAAATAACATTTATCTTATAAATTAGCCACAGATTAGCAATGATATCTAATAAGAAAAATATAAAAATTTTTATAATATGCCAGCATCATTACTTTTTTTTTTTTTTTTTTAGATGGAGTCTCACTCTGTCACCCAGGCTGGAGTGCAGTGGCACGATCGGGGCTCACTGCAAGCTCTGTCTTTTGGTTCAAGCGATTCTTCTGCTTCAGCCTCCCAAGTAGCTGGGACTACAGGCGCCCACTACCATGCCGGGCTAATTTTTTGTATTTTTTTTTTTTTTTTTTTAGTAGAGACAGCGTTTCACCGTGTTAGCCAGGCTGGTCTTGATCTCCTGACCTCGTGATCCACCCGCCTCAGCCTCCCAAAGTGCTGGGATTACAGGTGTGAGCCACCGCGCCTGGCCACCAGCATCGTTACTCTTGCACTTTGGGGTCATGATGAAATAAAGTCAGGGGTACTTGAACACAAGGCTGCAATACTGCAACAGTCAATGATGAGGCTGGCTACTGAATGACTCACAGGCAGGGAGAGTCTATGGTGTGGATTCTCTGGACAAAGGGATGCTTCACGTAATTTCTCCATCCCAGGTGGGATGAAGCAGAACAACTTGTGATTTCATCACACTATTTAGGACAGCATGCAATTTAAAACTTATGAAATGTTTATTTCTGGGATTTTTCATTTAATATTTGTGGACCATGGTCGACTTCATGTAACTGAAACAACAGAAAGCAAAATCTCAGGTAAGTGGGGAATACAGTACCACAGTTTGTTTATCTAGTCACCCACCTGTTAAAGGATATCTTGGTCGCTTCCAGTTTTTCACAATTATGCATAAAGCTGCTATTCACATTTCTGTGCAGGTTTTTATGTTTACATAAGTGTTTAGAATCAGTGGGGGAAAATACCTAGGCAGGAATTTGCTACATGTATTAATAATAAACTTCAAGGGTGTGGTAACTCATGCCTGTAGTCCCAGCACTTTGGGAGGCTGAGGCGGGTGGATCACCTGAGGTCAGGAGTTCGAGACTAGCCTGGCCAACATGGTGAAACCCCATCTGTACTAAAACTACAAAAAAATTAGCAGGGTGTGATGGCGGGCACCTGTAATCCCAGCTACTCGGGAGGCTGAGGAAGGAGAATTGCTCGAACCCGGGAGGCGGAGGTTGCAGTGAGCCGAGGTGGTGCCACTGCACTCCAGTCTGGGCAACGAGAGTGACACTCCGTCTCAAAAAAATAAATAAAATAAATAAAAATAAAATAATAATAATAAACTTCATTTAGGAATAATTTTCGATTTACAAAAAAGTTCCAAAAGACAGCACGGAGAGTTCTGAAGACACCCCTTTCCCAGTTTCTCCTAATTGTTACATCTTTCATAACCTCGGTGTATTTGTCAAAACTGAGAAATTAACACTGGCCCATTATTCCTAAATAAACTCTCGACTGCATTTGGATTTGACCAGTTTTCCCCTGCTGTCCCTCTTCTGCTCCAGGGTCCCATCCAGGACAGCACATTGCATCCAGCCATTGTGTCTCCTCACTCATCTCTTGTCTTGGACGGTTCCTTAGACTTTCCTTGCTTTCAGTAACCTTGAGAGTTTTGAACAGTGCTGGTCATGTATTTTGCAGAATGTCCGTCAGTTTGGATTTGTCTGACATGTTTGTCATGATTAAGACTGGGGTGAGGGGTTTGCAGAAGAACATCATAGAGCTAAACTGCCCTTTGCCTCACATCAGGGATGGATGATGTCCACATGACTTACTCCTGGCAGTGTGAATTTTGATCACTTGGCTAAGGTACTGTTTGCCACATTTCGCCCCTGTTAAGTTGCTATTTTTGCCTTTTCTTTCTTTTTTTCTTTTTTTGGAGACGGAGTCTCACTCTGTCACCCACGCTGGAGTACGTTGGCGCAATCTTGGCTCACTGCAACCTCCACTTCCCGGGTTCAAGCGATTCTCCTGTCTCAGCCTCCCAAGTAGCTGGGATTACAGTCACCCACCACCATGGCTGGCTAATTTTTGGATTTTTAGTAGAGACGAGGTTTCGCCATGTTGGCCAGCCTGGTCTTGAACTCCTGACCTCAGGTGATTCGCTGGCCTTGGCTTCCCAAAGTGTTGGGATTACAGGCGTGAGCCATTGTGCCCGTCCCCCTTTTCATACTCTGTGTTTTGGAAGCAAGTCATCAAATCCAGCCTTCATTCGGTAGGGAGTGTGTTGGGGGATCCTGGAGGAGGAGAATCTATTTATATTATTTGTAATTCTCCTGTAAACAAAAATTTATCTTTTCTACCTCTTTGTTTATTTGTTAACTCATTTGTTTATATCAATATGGACTTGTGTGTATTTATTTTATACTGAGGGTTTTAAACAAATACTAGGCAATTTTGTTTGTTGCTGAAATTGTTCCAGCTTTGGCCGTTGGAAGTGCTTTCAGGTTTTTAGATTGGCTTCTGTGTCCTTTGGCATCCCCTATCCATTTATTTATTATTTATTTATCCTTTTATTTATTTTAGCATTCTTACTTTCTAGCACTATAAGGTACTCTAGTTTCATCTTGTGTATTTCCTGCCCAAGGTCAGCCATTTCTCCAAGAAGCCCTGGTTTCTTTTATTGGAGAATGATTATTTGCCACTGAGATCTGGATTCTCTGTGTGTGTATTGCTAATCGGGGGTCACTGCTTCTAGGCCTCTCAGTGCACAGAGCTGGGAAATGTGTGAGCACTCATTCATCCATGCATACATACATATTTGTAATTATTTCTGTATCCATCCATCTGTGTGTGTATGTGTGTGTGTATAGTTTAATATAAACTAAACATGAGTTCCTACTGTCTGACTCTAACCCAATATCCTATCCCTTTTAGCCTCAGTGCCTTACTTATTAGTAACATTGTTACTTTCTCTGGCAAGGAGAAACCTAGCTTCCATGATCTGTCATTTATTAACTTATTTGATAGACCCTGGGATACATGCAATGTAATTTCAGAATTGTTAGCTTGTGCTCTTGTGAGAAACAAACTTACCAACTAGAGTACAATCCTCAGAGTCAGTTCGTTTTTTTCTTTAGCTTTACAGTTTTCCATCAAAGCATAGTTTTCCAAAATTTTTAAGTTCCCCGCCCCTACCCCTTCAGTCTGTTTATGCTGTACATTTATAATGCTGTTAGATTTGTGTATCGGACTTCATTCAATTCTGGGATCCCCTGGTATCCTGGTTGGGTTTCAAAACATTTGTATACATTAAAGATCAACCTGTGTGATGTAAAGTTCTAGGGTTTTGATAAATGCATAGAATTATGTAAACACCACTCCATTTTCAGACATATTTTTGAAAAAAAATCTGTACTTGAGTTTTGCATAAAGAGATGCAGATTGTGTGTGTTCCTTTGTGCCTCGTATTTCTTTCATTTACCATTGATTGTAAACATCAGGCCGGTGTGTGTAACTAGAGTTTCTTTCTTGTAATCATTTGCATGGTCCATTATTTAAACGTATCACTATTTATCCATTCTACTTATATTGAACATTTGGGCTGTTTCCAATTTGGGGCTATTAAAAACCACGCTGGTATGAACATTCTTCATGTTTCTGGTGAGCATATGCAACCGGGACTGTTGTGTTGTTGATTTCACACATTTACTGCTTTTGTTTCTGGGGATTTTCCTTTTTTGTGAGTTTTTTATTTAAAAAATATTTTGTATTTATCTAACTTTCTAAGTATTTGTAGATGGAGGGATTCTGTATAAATTTAGTTCATCATCTTTCAGAGCATAACAATCTCATTAATCTTTACAATCATTTTCTAATATGGATGTCCTATTGTTTCCGTTCAATCAATTAAGAAATTGCGAGTCAGCAAGATGAATCACTTTGCCTGACTATGTCCTTCCTAGTCAATGGTGCAGCTGAGAGTTGAGTTCAGTCAGCTCTGTCTCCCAAACTCAGGTTTTCTCCTCTCTTTCCCAGCTGTAAAACCCTCCTGACCTCTGACCCAAAGCTGTGACCTAGATTTTTAAAATGTCTTCTTCCTCCCTCTCCTGCTGATCACCTTTTAACAGTGTATCCATGGCCTGGACTTACAAGCCATGCCAATTCCCTCTGCCATAAGCTCAGCACTCAAAGACTTCTACCTGATTCCATGTGATTTTCATGCCTTTGACATTTCACACAGGGGGTGGGGGCTGGAAAGGAGGACAAAGGAGAGGAAGAAAGAGGAGAGAAAGCAGGGGAAATAGGAAGAAAGAGAAGACACTGGATGTGTATACCTTCCTTTCTCCAGTCCAGGGGATAAGGTCAAACCAAGACCCTAACCGAGCTGCTATTTCACAAAAGGGTTGTGAGTGCCACTCTCTCCCCATACCAAGGGGTCTCAAAATCTAAATTCCTTTAGTCACTTCATCGGTGGGGTCCCTTAACGTGCCACTACACATTATGCTGAAAAGTCTTTGTTGGCAAAGAAGGCAGCTCTAAGAATGTCTCCTGCGTGGGTGCCCTCGTATGCTGTGAAGACAGACTATGCTCAGGAGTGGAGGCCTTCATTCTCTGTGGTCACGACACAGGGTGGGGTATGCTGGCCACAGCCTCTACCCTTCCAGAATCAGAGAACCATGCCTTCCTCCTGGTCCAAGACTGTGAGTGGTTGGGACATTTGACTAAAGCCAGAAAAAAATGTATCTCTGCCCCCTTTTCCTCGAAAGCAAAAAGTGAGTTTTATCGGTGATGAAACTCAGAAATGCTCATAACCCTGAATTACCATGTATGGGAGTTGACTGCAACTGTGGTGAAAATCAGACCAGAGGAGGAAGGAGATGCGAGATTCCTGCTTCTACAAACCTTAGAGTCTGACAAAGCAGGACCTTAGAGATTAAAGTTCACGACCCCTGGCCAGAAAGGACAGTGGGCAGGCTGGGAGAGCTTCCTAAGTCCTGGCTTAAGGTTACCTCAGCGGCAGAGCCCAACAAGGGAAGGGAGAAACATCACCCTTCCAATAAGCAAGTTTCAGAATAGCAGGGAGGCTGCGGGTGGTTAGCAGCCCAGAAGAGCTGCAGAGGAGTAAAAGATGAACCAATAGATGCCCAAACATGTGGCCTGCTGGTGTGGCACAGGGTGAGGGCGTGGCTTTACTGGGAGCCAGGGAGACTCCTCTCAGCCCAGAACAGCCATAACCCAGTGGAGAGAATTAGTGAGAGCGTGGACCAGCGACCAAAATCCAGTTTGCCTGACACTTAGCTTCCTCCCAGTCCCTGAAGTGTCCCATCCACTTACAGTCTTGGACCAGGAGGAAGGCATGGTTCTCTGATTCTGGAAGGGCAGAGGCTGTGGCCAGCATGCCCCACCCTGTGCTGTGACCACAGAGAATGAAGGCACCCACTCCTGAGCATAGTCTGTCTTCACTGCATGCGAGGGCACCGACGCAGGAGAGATTCTTAGAGCTGCCTTCTTTGCCAACAGTCAGCTGAGGAACTACGCACCCTGAGCTGAAAGAGGAATATAACCCAGAAGAAAGCAACATCTGTGCAAAGGAACTTTAGGAATAAAAGGAGCAAGGAGGATGATGATCAGCATGTTGATGGAGGCCCCAGAAAAACTATGCCCAAAGCGGGTCAAAATGATGAGTTCGGAGCTCTTCATACCAGTGCTCAAGGCAAGAGGGGAGGATAACATGAGTGGGAACAGTGTGCTTCAGGACTGTCAGTGCAAGGAGAGGAAGCAGGCAGAATTGATCCATAAACTCCCACCTCCCGCTGGGTAGTGGTTCATAGGGTATAAATGCCCAGCACTTCCGTGTCACACATGTGTGGATGCTGCACAAGTTTTCCTGATGTTCCATGCCTCGGCCTTAATAGCAAAGCCTGAGGAGGGAGGTGAGGGGTGCAAGGCTCATGCCTGAGGCAAGGCCCCGTCCGGTTGTGCCTGCAGGAAGCCAAGCCGATGACCACAGATCTGGTGGCTGCAGTGATGCCTAGAGCAAGAGACACGTTGGCTAACATGTGCATAGTACATAAAGTTAAGGAGGTAACCATGAAGAGAAATTAAAATAAGTTTATAAGCTTCTCAAATTATCAGAAGGAAAACATTTGAAAGGAGATAAAGAAAATAGGCCATATAATGACACATTTTTAAAACAACAAGATGCATTAAAAATTTTAAAAAGCGTAAACAAAATGATGAACCAACTAAGAACAAACATGAATGTCTTCTGCGTACATAATTTGCAGATGAGATAAACTCTTATTAAAGGAAAGTGCTCTCAGATTGTATCAAAAAGCAAAATTATATGCTGTAGGCAAGAGCATCTAAACCAGGTGACAGACTGGGCATGGTGGCTCACGCCTGTAATCCCAGCACTTTGGGAGGCTGAGGTGGGAGGTTCACCTGAGGTCAGGAGTTCGAGACCAGCCTGGCCAACATGGTGAAATCCCGTCTCCACCAAAAAATTCAAAAGTTAGCCTAGCATGGTGGCACATGCCTGTAATCCCAGCTACTAGGGAGGCTGAGGCAGGAGAATCGCTTGAACCCAGGAGGCAGAGGTTTCAATGAGCCAAGATCACGCCACTGCACTCCAGCCTGGGCAACAAAGTGAGACTGTCTAAAAAAAAAAAAAAAAAAACAACCAACAAGTGACAAACAGAAAGGGAAGAGGGAAAAATAAAAGGATGGCTGAGCTCATACCTGGCAAGTGCAGTGAAAGGCAAACAGAAGTCAAAGCATCAGTATCCACCAAGGTTGAATTTAAGGCGAAAAGCACGAAGCAAGAGGCCAAAAAGAGCCTTTCACAAATGGATACAATCTTAATGATCTGTCATGAATATTTTTGCATCCGTATGTGGCAATGAATTTATTTTAGAAAAAACAGAAAAATCAAAGGAAAGAAGAGATAAATACAATAGTAATGGGTAACTTCGTTTCTCAGCCCATGATAGATTAAATAGATAAAAATAAGTGAACCTAAAAGTAACAAAGTAATTAATAAAGTAAAATTAATAAATTATGACTAATAAAGTAAAACAATGTAACTGCAGCTCAGCAATGGATAAGACACTCTTGCTATGCCTGAAACATCTGTTGGAATGTTTATCAAAGTGGCCATATAGGATATTAGGACATAAAATAACACTTAATACATTCCAAAGAGTAGAAATAATAAGGAAGACACTCTCTGATTGTAATTTGATAACATCAGATAATAATAACAATAAAATATAACCACCACAAAGGCCTGTCACTTAAACAATCAAACACCCCCAACTCCCAAAAAACACACCGTTATGTTAGGAAATCTAAAGCAAAATTGCAGAATATTTTCAAAATAAGATCAATTAGGCCGGGCATGGTGGCTCACGCCTGTAACCCCAGCACTTTGGGAGGCCAAAGCAGGCGGATAGCGAGGTCAGGAGATCAAGACCATCCTGGCTAACACGGTGAAACCCCATCTCTACTAAAAATACAAAAACAAAATTAGCCGGGCGTGGTGGCAGGCGCCTGTAGTCCCAGCTACTCAGGAGGCTGAGGCGGGAGAATGGCGTGAACCCGGGAGATGGAGCTTGCAGTGAGCCAAGATCACACCACTGCACTCCAGCCTTGGCGACTCTGTCTCAAAATAAATAAATAAGTAAATAAAATAAGACCAATTAAAATGCTATGTGGCCAGGTGCGGTGGGTCACTTCTGTAATCCCAGCACTTTGGGAGGTGGAGGCAGGCAGATCACCTGAGGTCAGGGGTTCAAGACCAGCCTGGCCAACATGGTGAAACCCTGTCTCTACTAAAACTACAAAAATTAGCTAGGCATGGTGGTGTGCACCTGTAGTCCTAGCTACTTGGGAGGCTGAGGCAGAAGAATTGCTTGAATCTGGGAGGTGGAGGTTACAGTAAGCAGAGATCATGCCACTGCACTCCAGCCTGGGTGACAGAGTGAGACTCTGCTTCAAAAAGAAAAAACGCTATGTACCTAAGCTGATGGACTACAACCAGAGCAGTGCTCAGAAAAAAGTCATGATCTTAAGTATTTATGTTATTAATTTTAAAAATGAATATAAATGAATAAATGAATTAGGGGCTTAGCTCCAAAAATTAGGATAACAAGAAGACCAATATAAGCTTAAGAAAAACAAAAGAAGGAACTGCCAAAGATAAGGACAGAAATCCATGAATTAAAAATAGCAGAACTAACAAATACAAAAGCTAGTACTTTGTTGGGGCAGGTGGGGACAATACAATAAGTAAGCACTAGTTAACATAATTAAGAAAATAGAAAAGAGGAAAGCTACAAATATATTAAATTAGAAATGTGAGCAAGAGAAATGGCCAAAGATAAAGTGACACCAAAGGAATAACAGTAGATACAGAGAAACTTAAAATAATCAATTTCATTGACCAACCCTCCTGCAGTTACATTTGCCACCCCAGCCCTGCCTCAATCATCCCCACATTCATACTCTAGTATCGCTATCTCCAGCACTAAGAACCGGTTCAAGCATTCCAGTTCTAAAGCCCCATGGAGACCTCCAGTTGGAGATGACTTACTGTTAACTATTTATCCCCTCCTTTTTTTTTTTTTTTTTGAGACAGAGTCTCACTCTGTCGCCCAGGCTGGAGTGCAGTGGTGCTATCTCGGCTCACTGCAGGCTCAGCCTCCCGGGTTCACTCCATTCTCCTGCCTCAGCCTCCTGAGTAGCTGGGATTACAGTCACCCGCCACCACGCCCAGCTAATTTTTTTGTATTTGTAGTAGAGACAGGGTTTCACTGTGTTAGCCAGGATGGTCTCGATCTCCTGACCTCGTGATCCACCCACCTTGGCCTCCCACAGTGCTGGGATTAAAGGTGTGAGCCACTGCCCCAGCCTATCCCCTCCTTTTGACTTCACTTCCCTCCTCATCCTGCAATAGATCATCATAACAACCATCTCCTCCTTGCCTTTCTTCCCTGTCCTCTTTTCTAAGGAAATCTAAACCCTGACTGATCCAGCATCCATCTTCTAGGTGTCTCCACTCAGGCAACTGACCATTGCTCAAATGCATCACACAACGAGGATGGCCCAGGAAGGCAGGATCTTTCCTCTGTTTTAGGATAGTGTGTGTGTGTTGAGGGGCGGGTGTATGCACACACTCATGTATTTTTGGAACTCCCAGAGCCTCCCAACCTCACCCTAGCAGATTTCAGAAGTTACATGTGGTTTAGGGGAAAAAAAAGCGTCTTCAGGGATGTGGTGGCCAGTTTCCAAGATGGCGCCCTTGATCCCTGCCTCCTGTTATTCATGTTCTTGTGTAGCCACCCCCCACATTGTACCACGGTGGGTCTGTATGACCAATAGAATATTGCAGAAGTGATAATATAGCATTTCTGAAATTAGGTTATAAAATTCACTGAGGCTTTGAGCTTGGTCTCTCTCTGTGTCTGTGTGCCTCTCTTTTATCACTCACCTGGGGGAAGTTGGTTGCCATCCCTTTGGAGAATCCCATGTGGTGAGGAAATGAATGAAGCTCTCTTCCAACAGCCGCATACGTACATTTAGGAGAGATTCCTTCAGCCTCAGTCGAGCTCCAGCTGATACCATCATTGCAGTCTTGCAAGAGACTGAGGCAAAGCAACCCAGCTAAGCTGCCGCCAGATTACTGACCCACAGAAATGGAGGAAATAAATATCCGTTGTTTTAAGCCACTAGGTTTGGGATAATTTGTTGTGTTGCAATAGATAAGTAATGCAAAGGAATACCACACCAGCCCATGTTTGGGGATCATTGCTGTTCACTGTGCTGCAATGTGGCTCATAGGCTGAAGCCCACAGGAATGCTCAGAAAATGGGATCAGAAGCACATGGCTGTCAGCCATGGTGTCACACGCCCCACCTGGACAGTCATGGGGAAATGAGGTATTCTTTGTGAGTGCTTTGAGGCTGACACCTGCCCCTCGGGTGTTACCGGTATCGTCTGTGTTTCAAATGATTATTCTGTGTGTTAATTTCAAATTTTCATTCTGTGTGTGTGTGTGTGTGTGTGTGTACATGCACCCACACAAACACACTTTTTCTTGCAAGTTTATTTGAAAGTAAATTGCAGACATGATGACACTTCACCTCCTGAGTACTTCAACACGTGCCTTCCAAGTGTAAGAATCTTCTCTTACACAGCACAGTTATCAAACAAATGCATTTGGCATTCAAGCATTAACATCGTCTACTATGCAGTCCGTATTCAAACTGTATTCAAACAGTTCTTGAATCTACCAAAACTGTCTCTTCCAGCCTAGGTTCCCCTGAAAAATGAGCTTGAGGCTTGTCCCCTGGCTCCTGTCTCTCCTGGTCAGTGATGACCTCAGGGGCATTAACAGCCTTGCACATCCAGCCTGGACATGGGCATTCCATGCTAGGGGGCTCAGAGAAACACCCAGGCTGAAATCAAGGGGCCCATAGCAGCTCAAGCCTGAAGAGAGACCTTGTCAGCCCGCATCTGCATAAAGCTGATTAAAGCCAGCATGGAATGTTGCTAAAGCAATGGCTAGAGAGAGGGGGAGCTAAGAGAATTTGGAAAGACATAGAAAAGGTGTCTGATGCAATGTCTCTTATACCCTTTCCTCAATTTTGTGAATCCAAGACTAATCAGAGATTTGATTGTCAATCATTTTGCATTAAAAAAGATAGAGATGGGGTGTTGTCATGTTGCCCAGGCTGGCCTCAAACTCCTGGGCTCCAGTGATCCTCCTGCCTCAGTCACCCAAAGTGTTGGGATGATAGGCGTGTGCCACTGTACGCAGCCCACTTTGCATTTGATTGTCAATTCTCATTAGACTCTTTAATTTCAAAATATCTTCCTACCTTTAAATCTTTAAATCTTTATATAAATATATGAAATGCTTTAAATCATTATATATGTATCTATATATTCATATATATGATGACATTGTCATTTTTGAAGAGTCCAAGTCATCAGAATATGCTAATTATGTCTTCATGATTAGACTAAAGTTTTGAGTAGAGTATCATATATATGTTTTGTACTTCCCATTACGTTATCTCAAGAGTTACATAATGTCAGTTTGTCCCAATTTTGGTGATGTTAAATTTGATCACCTGGTTAAGTTGTTATCCACCAGCTCTCCCTGTTGCATGAGTACATTTTTTTTTTTTTTTTTTTTGTAATTAACAAGTAACTGTGGGGTGATACTTGGAGACTGCGTGAATATCCTATTCTCCCACATCATCTCATCCAGTGGTTTTGATGTCCATTGATGATTCTTGCCTATATCTATTATTACATTGTTGGATGCAAAATGGTGATTTGGGCATGCAGATTTGGAGAGATTTGAGATGACGAGGCTAAGGTTCAGAGAGGTTAGGCTAGGACCCAAACATGGGGCTTTCTGACTCAATGTCTAGACTGTTTCCATTTCTCCCTGCTGTAAGATGGCCTGCTCCTTACCCTTTACCTTTGCATGACGGGGCATGGCAGTCTCGCTGCAGGACCGGATGCCATGACACCTGGATCCTCAACATCCTGCCTGTCTGGTAGAGGGCTATGAAGATTTAAGACTCCTCAAGGCCTCAGGCTCCTGCAAAGAGACAGCAAGAGAAGGAGGCATGAAGGATGGTGGGGGTGGTGATTGATGTCCATGACTCACTACAGCTGTTGGGCATGGATACCATCACGAGGAGGAATCTGGAGACCACAGTGTTTGAATCTGCATCTGGGCTGGTGGATCAGGACTTGTCATAGCAGTACCTCTGGTCATGTCTAACATCTCAGCCACCACCTATCCACACACAGGCGTCCTTTTGCCCCAAGAGACTTATTTCAAGCCTGTTGCTCCTCAAGGAAGTACCTCAACATGCCGGTGTGCATATGTGCCACGCTGCTAGTAATTTGTTACTAATAATAAATGACTGGCATTTGCAAATGCTTTCATCTTTTTTAAAAAAATAAAAATTAGAGAGAATTCAAGGTGATCTCTATAACAGTCTCCAAGGTTTGCCTTCTTGCATGGAAAGTGATGACGTTTTATCTGTGAGATGGAAATTACACATGAGAATTTGTCTTGAGTGTTAAGGGGAAATGTGACTAAGAACTGACATTTCAATAGAAAGTATGTGGGTATGTCATATTTTCCTACTCCCTGGATGCTGATAGTCAGTGGTCAATAATCTGCAAGGTACTGACTATTAAGAGATTCAGGGAAAACTCTGGTGACAAAGACCTCTGTTCTGCCCATTATCCAGAAAAGACAGCCCAAATAAGTAGCCCATTTGGCTGGCTGAGCTGCAGGCTCGTAGGTTTGAAAGCCTGAAGGAGCGTGACTAGAAACAACAGCTGTGGAACATTCACAGTTTTCACAACCCATCCTCACAAGTGTCTGGGGTCAGGCAATATTCTCATGATGGTCTTTGGATTTTTTTGGATCACCAGGCTGCTCAGCTCCATGAAGCTCAAGTGGGAAATTCAGGTAACCAACCTTTCTGGTTTGTCTGGGACTGTTCCAGTTTAGTACTGAGAGTTCTGCATCCCAGGAGACCCCCTATTCCCAGACAAAACAGGATGGTTGGTCACCATAACTGGCATAGAATCCTGTCTAGATCTGAGAAAGCCACTTTCACTTATCTGGAAAATATATTGCATCAGTCAATCTGGGATAACTTCTGGCTTTGGTCCCTAGAGGAAGAATGACACTCATAGCGAGTCAAAAGAGGAAATTCTGCCTTGTCTGCAATTCGGTTCACACTTCACACACATGGTATCTTCTGGAAGGTTCTCTGTGCCTCTAGGTCCACATATGCACACCCATGCGGTGCATGGCAAAATTCCTTGCAGTTTAACTTGGCACCAATTTTGTTCGTTCGTTTGTTTGTTTGTTTTACAAAATAGCTCTTATTAAGCTCACAATGTTCTACTGATTTCTAAACCTAGGGGCTCCTCTCTGTCATCATCCTATGTCATTCAACAGTCACATAGGAAATCCAGAGGAATGACTCTGTGGACAATTAATTAGAATTAATAAGTGAATTTTGCAAGGGCGCTGGATTAAAGCTCAATATAAGTCAATTGTATTCATATATACTAGCAATAAACTACTAGAAAAGTAAGTTTTAAAATAGTGTTTATTATAGCATCTAACCCCATCAAACGCCCAGAAAATACCTAGACGTAAATCTAATCAAAGATGTGTAAGAAGGCACTCTCTAACACCGGAGATTCTTAAGCTTCAGCGTTCATCAGAATCACCCAGGGGGTTTATTAAAACACAAACTGCTGGGCCACAAACCCGGAGTTTCTGATTCAGGCGTTCTGGGGTGGGGCTGGAGAATTTGCATACCTTGTTGTCAGGGGGAGCTGGTGCCGTCGGCTGTGGACCACATTTTGAGAACTTCTGCTCAACTCTGAAAACTAGAAAACATGCACCTGTCACTTTCTGAGGGTTCACTCCCTGGAAGTCTTTTCATCCTTAGTTCCCGAGGCACCACATACTCCTGGTTTCAGTCCTGCTCCTTCTCCTTCAGTTGGCTGGTTTTCTCATTCTCCACCCACTGCTCAGACTTTCAGCTCCTGCGGGCCCTGTCCTCAGTGCCCATCTCACTTTGCACACCCTCCATGGGCATATACCCACACTTGTGTTCTCTGATGGTTCATAAGTTTCCAGCCCATGGCTCTCCTGGGAGCTCCAGGTTGTCACGTTTCCACCCACCCCCTGGACAGTTCCAGTTGGATGTTCTGCAGCTTCTTTAGCCTGCACGGCCCAAACTGAACTCCTTTTCTTCTCTATAAACCTTCTCTTTCCCGTCTTGTTCATGTTTGAAAAGAGATCAACTTCCCCGTTCAACTAGTCACCCAAACAAGAAACTAGGGCATCATCCCACACACTTCTTTCCCAATTCCTACCTCACTTCTAGGAGATTTGCAGGACAGAGGGGAGAGGGGCCTGGCTATCCCATAGCACTTCCACTGGTCCCTGTGTTGAGGGTGAGGGTGAAAATTAATCACAACCGTGCGAACAGACACAAGAAGCCATATAATGATCAAGATACAGTAACAACTTTATTACAACAGGGGTGCATTGGTGGACTCATGTTGCACTGAGCCCGAAATATGTCATATAAGTCTTTTTCTCCTGAATTTTATTTACCACCCAGTGAGGGCTGGAATGCCTGAAGAATCTGGGCTCCCCCTGGGTGTGTATGTCTGCTGGTGGATTCGGGAATCCTGCCCCTGAGCCTACTGCATAGCAGAAGCAGCTGGAAGGAGACTGCTGTGGTTCATGAGAAAAGCTGGGCAGTCCTTGGTTGGTGGTTTTTCTTTACACCAACTTCTCCATCAGATAAGAGTTTCCTCTTCTTGAGGGAAGGAGTTAAGAGAAAGATGAAAAAATATTCCCCCAATCCTGTCCCATTCTGGGAAGTGGAATGGAAGCTTCCTCTCCACAGAAACACAAGGAGAGGGTGATGAGCATTCCACCCCTAAAAGGCCCTGTATACTCTTGAATGAGTCACTGAACCTCTTTGAGCCTCAGTTTCCCCATCTGTAAATAAAGGCCCTTAGAACAAAAGCCGTGAAGGTCCTTCCAAGCTTTCAGATTTCATTAAATCCTATGAATATGGAAAGGCTGTGCTTCTACAGGTTTTCCAGCTGAGAGCCTGCAGGTAATTTGTCATTTAATTACTCCATGAGAAGTTGGCAGCTCAGCCCTCTCTGGGGGCCCAGAGAATGCTCCTGCAAAGATCAGTGTGGCTTGCATCCTACATGGCTGAGAAATGAAAGGAGTCAGAACACAATCCAACGCAGTGTCTGGCAGACACAAAAAGGAAGATTCGCATCTCATTTATTCTTTTATTCCTCATGTAGATATCCAGCATCTACTGGGGACCCTTTGTTAAGAGTTGGGGTGGCTGAAATCCACATAGCCTAGGCTGTCAGTCAGGTCAGAATACAGCCAGGGAGTTAAGAGATAGGCACAACCAACTGTTTAAAACACACACACACACACACACACAAAGAGTAATCAGGGCTCTAAGAAAAATAGAAAAGAAAAACCCTGTAAGGTCAGTGCTGGAAGGGCAGGGCAGCTCCTGCTAAGAGGGAGCAGAGAGGGAAGCCTTCTTGGAGAAGGTGATAATAGCTCCTGGGTTAGAAAGCTCTGGGCCTGCAGAGACTGGCTGTGAAGGGGCTTTCCAGGGGGAAGAATGACATGAGCTGAAACAGAAGCCTGGTAGCATGGGGACAGGAAAGAATTCTGTTTCACCTGAACGGAAGGCATGGAGGGGAAGAGGCGTGATGGATCCAAGACAGGACGTTGACCTCACCCTGGAGATCTCCCTCATGCCCATTCCCTGTCCATCCCCCAGCCCCAAAGCAACCTCCAATCTGATTTCTCTCTCCATAGGCCAGTCTTCCTATTCTAGAGTTTCATAGAAATGGGAATCCTACTGCATGTTCTCCTATATTTGGCTTCTTTCATTCGACACCCTACTTTTACCGGGCGTGGTGACTCATGCCTGTAATCCCCACACTTCAGGAGGCCAAGGTGGGCAGATCGTCTGAGGTCAGGAGTTCGAGACCAGCCTGGCCAAAACCGTGAAACCTGTCTCTACTAAAAAAAAAAAAAAAAATTAGCTGGGCCTGGTTGTGGGCACTTGTAACTCCAGCTACTCGGGAGGCTGAGGCAGGAGAATTGCTTGAACCCGGGAGGCGGAGGTTGCAGTGAGCCAAGATTGTAACACTGCACTCCAGCCTGGGCAACAAGAGTGAGACTCTGTCTCCAAAACAAACAAACAAACAAAACCCTATTTTTGATATTCATCCACGTAGTATAACATGTATCAATAGACTTTGTTTCTTTCCATTTTTGCTGAGTAGTATTTCACTGTATGGCTGTGCCACAGTTTATCCACTCTCCTGAGAATGGACATCTGGATTACTTCTGTTTTCTGACTATCATGAAAAAGCTATGAACAATCTCATACAAGGCTTTCTGTGGACATATGCTTTTATTTCTCTTGGATAAATACCTAGTAGAGAAACATCAAGTCCATAGGGTAGATGCATGTTTAACTCTTAAAGAAATTGGCAGAGGGTTTCCCAATGTGGCCCCTGTCCCTTTCTAGCTAGGAATTTCTCTTTGCTTCAGAAATAAAGCTAGGAATTTCTCTTTGCTTCAGAAATAACAGGACAGACACACATTTTAAAAAGAAGCATTCTCCGCTTCTGGGCTTCTCTTGTCCCAGACACCAGTGACTAAGCCCTGGAAAAATATCAAAACAATTCTAAAATTAGGTTCTCGTTGCAACCTGCACGTCCAGCTGTTATGCTTAGCATCCTACCTCCCCTCTCCCGAATGAAGCTCATTCCATGAATATTCAAAATAATCGGTGTTGCATCTTTGAAGACTGCCTCAGTCCCAGCTTCAATCCTTCCAAAAAGACCTGTCATGTGTGTGAGTGAGAGACGGGGTAGTTCAAGTACAGACAGTCTGCTCTGAGCAGACACTTTCTGTGAAAGCCTGAAGACTCTGAAGCTCTGGTGAATTGGCCAGGGAGTGGAGAAAGCCGCTTCTGCCAGTCTGCATTTTCTACAGACTTGTTCTTATACCTTATGTTTATTGGGTTCTTACCCAGCCATCTCATAGGAAGAAATCCCTTAGAGGCCATCTGTATTTTACAAGTGAAAGTTTGGAGAGAAAAATGCCACTGTCTGCGGTTGCCCAGGGAGTGCGTGGCCAAGCTGAAGCTGTGTCTCTTCAGTTCTTTCTCTGCTGTAGACCTCAACTCCTCCCAATTTTAGTGGGTATTCATTGTTCCTCTTCCCCTTATTAAAGCTCATCCCTGCATATTAGTGCTTCTGTCCTTACCTAAAAGCAAGGTCAGGAGGTTGAAGGAGGTCATATTCCAGGTCCAGGTCTGTTCTGCCCAGGCACACAGAATCACTGTGGCATGAGTTTTGCAAAAGAGAAAGGATTTATTTGCAAGGGCACCACGTGAGGATGCAGGAGAACATCTCTCACATCCGTCTCCCCACAGGTAAGCCTTGTGGATATTTATGGGCTAGAGAAGTGGAGTGGTCTAAGTGTGGGGAATGGTGATTAGCAGTGGAGGAAAATGAAGTAATAAGTTCATTCTGTGCAAGCGTAGTCAGGGTTCATGGCATTTCATGGGACACAGGTACAGAAAATGATGGTGTTAGCATGATCTGAGGGTGGAGGGTGGAGTTTTTGGCCCTCCGATATAAAAAGACCACCGCTTGGTCACTTGAGCAGGCCCAGTTGAATGGTTGGTGATGTCCACTGGTTCAGGAGCTAGCCCTAGTTCCTGAAAAACAACTAAAGCAATCATTACCATGTGGCCTGCGAATGTTAGCTATAAAGTAGCCAGTGAAGGTTAAGTTGCAGCATTCAGCCCCAAGGCCTTCAGCTACCTTAAGCTTCATGGAAAAAGAGGAAAAATAATAAGAAGCAAGCAACTAAAAGCAAGCAGGCAGGTAGACCTGGTGAAATTAGCCCCTCAGTTTCAATGGCAGCATGGCAAGAGAGCCCTTCAGGGAGTGTCTATGGGCGAAGGTGCTAAATGCATCTCTGTTGACCACCGTCTCTCTCAGGTTCAGTCCTTCAGTGAGGGCCAACTCTTGAGACACCGAGAACCTTCTTACTCCCAGCCTAGAGGAGATTCCAGAAATCTGAGCTCCTCCCAGAGCCAGAAATGGAGGCGAGTTCTGGTGCCTGGAACCCAGCCCTTTTGCATTCTTCTGGGAATAACAAAAGCCTTCTGCCTATGGCCTGGAGCACAGTGGGTTGTTGAAGGGCCATCTCTAAGGCATATGCAGTGCCTGGCCCAGGCTGAGGGATGGAGAGACCGAGCTCCCTCATTCCCTGATGCAGCGTGTCTGTGCATGTGTGGCTGGGGCAGGCTCTGCTGAGCTCCTTCTGAGGGCAGAGCCAGAGAACATCCAATTCTTCCCGGCATCTTCTTGGACTTCTCTGGGCGTGAGCTCCGCTCTAACCACCCTGTCAAGAAAGAGGGCAGGGGAGGTGGCCGAGCTGCTCCCCACCTTCCTGGAGGGAGGTTTTTATCAAAGTTCTGCAGGTCCAGCCAAAGAATACTCTTCCCTGAGCTGTGCCTCTAGGAGCGCCGGGGTCTATGTGGGGACGCTTCTAGGCAGGAGCTGCCCTTATGGGTCTCACCACTCCTCGCACCCTTATCCTCTTTCCTTCCTTTACCCACCAGGATGGTGTCAGTGGTGGTCAGGGTGGAAAGGGAAATCCCTTCTTCACCACGGGTGTCATGCCCTTGACTCCTGACTGACAGGACCTTCTCCAGGTCAGTGACTCATCTGATAACCTTGGGTCAGTCCCAGCCCCCTCCTCGTTCCTGGCTCCACATAGTTCTGTGTTACTCCAGGGGTGGTGCCAAGGCTTCCATAAGGCCACAGGTATGACTGGAGAAGCTTCTGCCTCTGTGAGGACCCTTGTTGGAGGAATAGGTGGCCTGAGGGTCCATGGGTTGGAGCCCAGAGTGGATGTATCTGAGGTCATAGCTTCCAGTCACTTAAAAAAGCCCATTAGATTTAGGACAGTCAACTCCGTGGCCACACAGAGAGTCCTGACTCCAGCAGAAGGACACCTCTCCCATCCGTCTCCCCACAGGTAAGACTTGGGGATATTTTGGGGCTAGAGAAGCGGAGTGGCCTAAAGTGTGGGGAAAGGGGATTAGCTGTGGCGAGAAATGAAGTAATAGGTTCATTCTGTGCAGCGCTCCAACCCTGGCCCCACTGCATCCCAACCCTGGCCATGGGACTAGGACCTGGGAGCCACAGGGTGGCTGTGTTATCAGGAACACCAGGGACTCACCTGCGCTCTCTCCAATCTGCCTGGCCCTGAATATCCCTGCGGACCAAGTCATAGCTATGACTTCCTAGTGTCTGCCTCCCAAGGTGATTTTATTTTATCCTTTAAGCGAAACCTTGTCATGCATTAGAGCCAGGAAATTACACCCTTCGCTGAGCAGCCTCTGGGCTGAAAGGAAGCCAGGCAATGTGATGAGTGAGGCCAAGAGCAGCATTAATGCAGCTGGTCATGAAAGTCACAGGAACGCTGGCAGCTGCCACCCAGACCAATCCCTGGGGGTGCCACGTGTACCCTGGGCCTTAAGGGGACTCTGCGTCAGTCAGAGAGCTGGTCCAGAGAGGGTACGCTCCTCTCATGCCAGTTTCTCAGGTTCCTTGGAGGGGAGACATAGGAGCCCCTGGCAGCAGCAAAGGTGGCTCCTTAAGCTGCACTACCATGGGTGCTGGCCACGTCAGCGACTGCAGCAGCCAGGCAAGCCCTTCCTGATCCACAGGGCACTCACATTTGAGGCTGCCTCTCAGGAGAGCCATGCGGTCCCTGGCTAAGGACATCAGCAAAGAAAGTGCAAATTTCAGTGGTCCATGGTGAGGCATTAATGTGCTAAGGCAGGGACTTGTATCGGATGACTTTGTGGTGGGGAGGTCTTTTCAAGATCCAGGACTTGTCAGTGTACTGTGGAATATATGAGTTATTAAATGATGACTGAGCGAGTGGATATGTGAATGGAGTAGGCATTCTAGAGGCAGGAAGGCTATCCTGGGGGCTGCCTGGGCAGTGTGATGGAGATGACTGGCCCATTCCACAGCCCCTTCTGTCTGATGGCTTTGCGTATAGAATTAAGCTGAAACCATGGAGCCACAGCCACATCAAGACATAAGATGATTCTTTTAGATCCTGCTGAATTCTTTGCGGGATCAAAGGGCTTTCAGCATTGCCTGTGTTCGTCCTGTGCCTACCTATTGCTTCCAAAAGAGGCAGGGAGAGCCAGAGAACCAAAGTCTGGGGGCTGAGTAAGATGAGATCAGGGAGCTCATTTATCCAGCCCCTTCACTGTTCAAGTGGGGAACCAAGGCCAGGAACATGGCAGGAATTTTTCACCCAGCCAAGGAATGTCCAGAGAGGAAGCAGGAAGTAATAGAGAGTCAGGAAACGTACGTGCCTGAGTGTGCGCGCGCGTGTATGTTTTGGCGTTCTGTTGAGAAAGATCCAGCATTTCAAATCACAGTCAGCGTGGGTCAAAGGAGGGGTAGCGAAGCAAAGATATTACAAAATCTTTCTGCGCTCTGCAATTTGCTTCATTTTCTGGATTCCAATTTTAGACATTATTTCATCATAGAAAGCCAGAAGATAAACCCAATAAACTCAAGTCCTCTATTGATTTTTCCTCCTCTTCAGCAGTCGCTGTATTTTGACTACAGCGTGGTGAAACGTTTAGCTAAGGAAACAGAAAAACAAGGAACAACCCCCTCCACTCCCGAGGCAATAAAATCATCATCAATTCACTGAGACGAATAAATTTATTCTCACCAAAGAACAAGTTATTAAGGATCCGCTGCAAGTATCAGTCGGGTAAGAGCCTGACTGACAATTTCATCTCCTAGAATTTAGTGGAAAAGGTTGGAGAAACTAAAACCTTTTCTCCCCCATCTTTCCTTTTCCAGCCTACCCAGAGGTACAAGCACACCTTGGAGATACTGCAGGTTCGGTTCTAGACCACTGCAATTAAGCAACTATTGCAATAAAGAGAGTCAGGCAATTTTTGTTGATTTTATATGGAACCACAAGTATATGCTATGCTGTGTCTGGCTTTTGGTTCAACATTATTTGTGAGACTCATCCATGTTATTGTAAATGTCAGTTGCTTATTTTCATTGTTTTTTAATGTTTCACTGTACAAATAGATTGAAATTGATTAACCATTCTTTCTAATGGAAATTTGAGTTGTTTCCAGTTTTTTGCGCATCACACATCATATTACTGTGAACGTTCTCATAGTGTATGCTACAGATGTAACTGGATGTTTCTGTCAGTCACGTGCCCAGGACTAGAATTGCTGGTTATAGGGTACGTATCTTCTCAATCTGGGGGAGAAACTCTTTTCCAAAGTGATTGTTCAAACTTACATTCCCTCAAGTGGTTCAAGAGAGCTCCAGTTTTCACATCTTTGTCAGCATTTAAAGTCTTTTACTTTAGACAGTCTAGTGGCTCTTATTGTGATTTTATGTGCGTTTCCCTGATTAGCAATACTTTTGAACATATTTTCATAGTTTATTGGCCGTTTAAATATGCTCTTACATAAAGGGCTGTTCAAATATTTTGCCTAGTTTTCTATTATTTTTTCTCTTATGTATCTGTAGCTGTTCTAAGCATATTTTATATTAGTCATTTGTCAGTTGTATGTGTGGAGAATATCTTTTTGCACATTGGTTTGCCTTTTTACCCTCTTAATGATGTCATTTGACAAATAATGTTCTTAATGTTAATGTAGTCCAATTTATCAATCATTTCTTTTAAGTTAAGTGTCTTTGTGTCCTGGTTGAGAACCCTTTGTTTACCCCAAGGTTATAAAGACAGTTTCCTTTGTTGTCCCCTAGAAGCTTTTCTGTTTTACCTTTCATATTTAAATCTATAATCCAGCTTGAATTAATTCTGTGTATTGTGTGAGGTAAGGTACAGATCAACATTCATTTTTACCATATGGATATTCAGTCATTGCCCTATCAGTAGTTAATGAGAAGACTGTCCTTTTCCCACTGTTGGGCAGTGCCATCTTTGCCATTAACCAATCACGTGTGTACACACATACACACATATATGTGAGTCATTTTGTGAGTTCTTTATTTGTGCCTTGTGCAAATACAATACTATCTTAATTACTGTAGCTTTCTAAAAAATTAATTAATTAATTAATTTGACATCAGACAGTGATTGTCTTGGATGTTTTCAGCCATTTTCTTTTTTTTTTTTTTTTTTTTTTTTTTGAGACGGAGTCTCGCTCTGTCGCCCAGGCTGGAGTGCAGTGGCGCAATCTCGGCTCACTGCAAGCTCCGCCTCCCGGGTTCACGCCATTCTCCTGCCTCAGCCTCCCAAGTAGCTGGGACTACAGGCGCCCGCCACTACGCCCGGCTAATTTTTTGTATTTTTAGTAGAGACGGGGTTTCACCGTTTTAGCCGGGATGGTCTCGATCTCCTGACCTCGTGATCCGCCCGCCTCGGCCTCCCAAAGTGCTGGGATTACAGGCGTGAGCCACCGCGCCCGGCCAGCCATTTTCATTTTATATAAATTTTAGAATGATCAGTTTCTACATACAGCACCTTCTGGAATTTTAATTAATATTACATCAAATCTATAGATTAATTTGGGGAGAATTGATGTTTTTGTAATATGGAGTCTTCTAGTCCATAAACAGAGCTCATTTATTTAGGGATTCTTTAATTTAACTCCATGTCTTACAGTTTTCTAGGTAGAGGTCTCACAAATATTCTATTAGCTTTATTTCTAAGTATTTGAATTTTTTGCTATTATAAGTGTTATACTTCAAAAAAATTTTTTGTTTGTTGCTACTTTGTAGAAACATAATTTATTTTTATATATTGATCTTGTATTAAGTGACCTGACTGAATTCACAATTTACTCTATTAGTTTATCTGTAGACTCTTTTAAATTTTCTATATATGCAATCATGTCACTGGTGAAAAATGAAAAATCATGTCATTGGTGACAAATGATAGTTCAGTATTTTTCTCTCTAATCCTATACAGTATTTTCTTGTTGCACTAACTAGGATCTCTCTAATGTAATGCTGGATAGAATTTGTGATAGCAAAGTATCTCCAAACTCTACGGGACACTTAATATTTTGCTATTAAGTATAATAATATTCCTGTAGGTTTTTTAAACTAACAAAATTCCTGAATATTCTTAATTTTCTATAAGTTTTTCATCATAAATGAATATTAAATTTTTAGGGCTGGGTGTGCTGACTCATGCCTGTAATTCCAGCACTTTGGGAGGATGAAGCAGGTGGTTCACTTGAGGCTAGTTTGAGACCAGCCTGGCCAACATGGTGAAACCTCGTTTCTACTAAAAATACAAAAATTAGCCAGGTGTGGTGGCGCTTGCCTGTAATCGCAGCTACTCCAGACGCTGAGGCACGAGAATCACTTGAACCCAGGAGGCAGAGGTTGCAGTGAGCCGAGATTGCGCCACTGCACTCCAGCCTGGGTGACAGAGTGAGACTCTGTCTCAAAATAAATAAATAAATAAATAGATAAATAAATAAAATAAATTTATATATGCATTTTTGCATTTATTGAGATGATTACATAACTTTTCTCCTGTATTTCATTAACATGGCATTTCGAATCCAGGCTTTAATTGTTTAAAGCTTGTTCTATTTCTGGCTAGCCATTACTCTTTCAAGGTGACCCTTCAGGCGTCCTCACCAAAAGCCTGGGATATGATGAAGCCTCCTCCTCTTTAGTGGAACCTGAATTCCAAATTTTGTCCCTCCAAGTGTATGAGACCATTCGCTATTCTAGAAAATGCATCTGCCTTTATGTTTTTGTACCTGTAATTTACCTCCTTAGGATAAACTCCCAGATGTGAGATTTGCTGACTCCACGTATGACTTGGGAAAGTTTACATTTCTCTCACCTGCCCTTTAGAAGAGCCCTTTCTGATGAGCCACATGCGAGATTCCTGCACATTTCACCACAAGGACTCCAGAGAACCCGGCATCCATGGCTAAAGGGCAAGGTTTTCAGCTTTAGGGAAATACTAAGGGACTAGGCGCAGGGTCACAGGATGAGCAAGCCACAGCAAGGGTCCGGCTAATACAAGGTTATACACCAACAGAATACAGACTGTCCCCTTCTTCCTTCCATGACCAGCTCATGAAATTCTAGCTGAAATACTGAAAACAGAATAAATTCATTCACAAAGCCATCAGTTGTTAAGTTCAGTTTTGCTGTTTCCAACGGGGCAATTTTTTTCTAACTGCATCAGCTTATTTAGTTTTCAGATGGCTACTTGGACACAGACATTTAAACTTGTGTTGATGAATAATTTAAAAGGAAAATCCAGCACGGCTAGCAGTAATCAGCTCCTCATCAGCTTTCCTAATCATGGGTCCTCCCTTCTCGTGCCCTTCCCAAATTCAAGAGAGGTCACCTATGTTTGGACTCAGTAAATGATGGAAATCTGAAACTCTCAGGGATTTGCCTGTTAAGGCCAAAGGGAGACTTAGGTAATAATTTATCCTAATGACCTTTCATTAGAATCCCTGAGGCCGGGCGCGGTGGCTCACACCTGTAATCCCAACAGTTTGGGAGGTTGAGGCAGGCTAATCACAAGGTCAGGAGTTCAAGACCAGCCTAGCCAATATGGTGAAACCCTGTCTCTACTAAAGATATAAAAAAAATTAGCCAGATGTGGTGGTGCATGCCTGTAATCCCAGCTACTCAGGAGGCTGAGGCAGGAGAATTGCTTGAACCCGGGAGGTGGAGGTTGCAGTGAGCCGAGATAGCACCACTGCACTCCAGTCTGGGCAACAAAGGGAGACTCCTCTCAAAAATAATTAATTAATTAATTAATTAAAAATAAATAAATAAAAATAAAAAAATAAAATTCCTGAGAGCACAGGAAAAAGCGCTGGGATCTCATTCCAGGTTAGGCATCGTTTTTGTGACAGGGTTAAGAGCTGGGGAAATGCCTAACTGTCAGTGAAGCGGGGATTTCAAGCCTGGCCAGCTTGATATTGACTCTGAAGAAGATGGTGATCTCCCTGGCTGCCAAAAGGTGTCAAGTTAGTCCAGCTGGGCGTGACGGGGTGTTTTGATAGAGCTCAGGTAATAGCCATCTAGGAGATTGGGTGGGTGATGGAAACAGGACTCTAGTTGTAGACTCCAGCCCCAGGGGAAACAGATGACAGAGAACAGACCTGAAGCCCAGAGTGG
Organism: Homo sapiens; assembly: GCF_000001405.40. NCBI lineage: Eukaryota > Metazoa > Chordata > Mammalia > Primates > Hominidae > Homo > Homo sapiens. The sequence continues at coordinate 6,033,300 of NC_000017.11, forward strand.
ACTCTTCAAGCCACGTACAGGCACTGGGGACCAGGCAGTCACTGGGCTGTGGGGCAAGATGGTACTGACTCTCGGGAGGCACCCGGACCCAGGAGGTAGCAGCTCTGGGAATCTAAGTCAGAGCAAGATGAGCCTCTCTTGACCTCCTGCCTCAGGACTCATACAAGGGCCAGAGCAGAACTGAACCTGCAGGTGGGGGATGGGATGGGGGTGGCCTAAGTGGAGAGGAAAAGCCAGGTGGCTCCTGGGTGGGGCTGCCAACCTTGATGGGGGTCTGGAAATCAGATTCCAGAGGCTATTCGGATGTTCAGATACTTGTGTGAAGGCAGCCCTTGCTCAGGTGGCCTTCTTGAGTTCCACTTGAAAGACAGGGAGATGTGGTTTAATGAAACCATACTGGTTGGAGTCATACAGACTAGGTTTGATTATTGAGTTCAGGACTATTCAACAAAAATGTTCTGAATACCTACATGAACCAGTGGCAGGGAAAGACATAGAATATGTAATTACAAAAGAGGCAAATGCTACAAAGTGGGAGCATGTTGGGAAGTAGGGGGATAAGAAAGGCTCCCACAAGCAAAGAGACTGTGGCGTGTGTGTGTGTGTGTGTGTGTGTGTGTGTGTGTGTGTGTGTGTGTATGGTGGTGGTGGTTGTGGTGGTGGTGGTGGTAGTGGAGGGAATTGGGATATCTCAAGCAGCAAGTACAACATGAAGGAGGTTCTGAAGGCCAGACAGCAGCCCACAAGTGAAGAAAATGGTCCTGTACATCTGGAGAGAAGAAAGACTGGGACGTGAGTGGTCTAGGAAGAGGCCAGAGAGGTGGGCAAGAGCAGGATCCCTGCAGGCCTCAGAAGCCTTGTGAAGCATTTTGGTCCTGATGGATTGGGCCGTGGGGTACCACTAAAGTGTTGTATGCAGGACAGTCTCATGATCAGACCTGGGTTTTAGAATCTTGCTATGCAAAGTGTGGACTAGCAGAGTGGCCATCACTTGCGAGTTTGTTGGAAATGCTGACTTTCCATCCTGTATTAGTCTGTTTTCACACTGCTGATAAAGACACACCTGAGACTGGGAAGAAAAAGAGGTTTAATTGGACCTACAGTTCCACATGGCTGGGGAGGCCTCAGAATCATGCCGGGAGGTGAAAGGCACCTCTTACGTGGCGGTGACAAGAGAAAAAATGAGGAAGAAGCAAAAGCAGAAACCCTGATAAACCCATCAGATCTCGTGACACTTATTAACTATCACGAGAATAGCATGGGAAAGACCAGTCTCCATGATTCAAAGACCTCCCCCTTGGTCCCTCCCACAACACGTGGGAATTCTGGGAGATAGAATTCAAGTTGGATGAGGCCACAGCTAAACCATTTCACATCCTCACCCTGGACCTGCATTTTAAGAGGATCTGCATGACTCGGATGCACCTCCAAGTTTGAAGAGCCCTGCTCTCCCAAGTTCTCATCAGTTGTTCTTAGAGGTTGGATGGGAGGGAGCCACAGGTGAGCATGGTGGTGTAGTCAGGAAGCTGCTCTCATGGTTCAGGAGAGAAATATGGAGACTTATACCAAGCCTGTGTCAGGAGGGATGATGTCCCCCTAGGGCAGATCAGAACACATCACACCCCTGCTCATATCCCTCCACTTCTGCCTCTCAAACATCCCATTTCTTGAAATGGAACTCCCATCTCAAATGGAACACTTGCCTAGCAGAGTTCTGCACTGCCTCTCATGTCTGTCTCCTTCTCCAGCCCCCTACCACTGTGGCTCAGAGTCCCTCTCCAATCTCCCCCAGGCAGTGACAGCCATCTTCCAATTGGCCACTGTGGCCAGAGCGGCCCATCAAAGCACAGCATTGACTCAGGAGCTCCCCAGCTCAGGGCCCCTGGTGGCTCCTACCTCTCCTTCATGATCAAGTCCATGCCTCTCACCTGGCCCTCAGCGCCTTTCACAGGTGGGGCCATCCTTCGGTTACATCTGCATCTCCCACTGCACCTGAGTGGATCCTGGCCCTCAAGTCAATGTAACCATCCTCTACTCCAGGAATATGGGTGCTTTCCCCCACTCCCACCTCACGCGAGCCTTCTGGAATGCCCCTGTGCCACCTCGGCCCTACTCTCCATCTCTTTACATGAAAAGATGACATTTGTTATTGCATTTTCTGGTTACTAAAATATTGTGAGCATATTGCCACTGTTAGGAAGACATTGAAAAGTATAGGAAGACAGTGAAGCTCTGCTGAAAGCCCATCTTGCAGAGACAGTCCCTGTGTAGAATTTGCTGTGGCTATTTCTCAGCCACATGCTCTGAAAATCCACTGCTGACAGCAGCCTCCAGCAGAGCTGGGAAAAATCAGGCCCCAGACAGGACACCAGGGTCGCTGTTTTGTGCCTCCTACAGATGTACGGGGCACCACATTACCTGCTCACAAAAGGTGTCTAACACACTGTAAGAAAGTGTATGCACCTCAGGGCTCTGAAAAAGGCAGCTCTATCTCAGTAGAGCAGTGTTGGGATTGTTAATGGCTGGAGAGGTGGCAGGTGGTGCAGAAGGCTGGGCTCAGGGCGCTTGTGGTGTGTGTGTCAGCCCCTGACTTCTCCCACCCTGCAGCTCCAGGCCCCACCATCCCCACTCTGTAGGTTCTCTTCTCTCTGCCCCAACTCTGGCAGCAAGCCAGGCAGCATGCCTTTAGTTCTGTCCAACAAACACTCTTCATGCTCAGCTCTGCGTTAGGAGACACTGGGGACACAGAGCAAGCCAATTATCCCTGTCCTGGAGGAGCTCACAGCCTGGTGGGTGAGGAGCAGCTGTCTCCCCAGGCTCTGATCCTCCACCAGGAGCTTCTGTAAGCTCTGAGGGTAAGCTCTGGACCACTGCATTTCCAAGCAGCCTCTGCCGCCTCCCGGCTCTCACCAGGTGCTTCCACTTTCCAGGCCCCTCACCGGGACAGCATCTTGCTCTGAACTCGGTTTGCGTGGCTGGCACTGCCAACCCTTCTTAGCACTAGTGGTACCTCCAAGCCAGAGAGTTGCAGCAGACCCTGTGAGTGGCAGACAAGCCTTCATGGGGAACTGTGGTCACAATCAAGAGGCAGAAGAGACAGGCTCCCCTCCATCCTCCCATCTTTGTGGCTCCAGGAACACAGAGAATTCCTCCAACATCTCTGCCCAGTTGTTTAAGGGCTCATGGCAGGGAGGTTAGACGTGTCAAAACAAGCCTACACAAAGTAACAAGCATTACAAAGAGAAACACAGGTGTCAAAGGAGTAGCTTTAACTTTGGAAAGGCAAAGAAAGTTCTTACAGATGGGGTAACATTCAAGCTGGGTTTTGAAGGAAGAGAAAGAATTTTACAAGTGACGAAGGAGAGAAGGGCATGTTCAGATGTTTATTCCAGAAAGATTCCCCCATGCTACTTAGCTCGAAGGAGGGACTGGACGAAGGTTCTGGGGAAGCAGGGAAACCAGCAAGGTGGCTGATATGACCCTCCAGCTGGAGATACACTGAAGCCAGCAGAGGATGGGCTTTGAAGGTGAGGGAGGCAGCAGACACTGGCTGGGTGGCTGGTAGCTCCTGGGCAAACGCTGACCTGGAGATCCTGCAGGCGGCCAGGACTCAACGCAGAGCCAGGGGGCCCGGGACTCCTGCTCTGAGCCCCACTGTGGTGGGTGGGGATATCTAGGCATTTGAAGGAATCTCAGCTGGTGGGAGGGCACCTTGTAAGTGATCTTAAGCAATGCAGTGCATCCTTTATTAAGAGAAACGGTGACACCTCTGCTGCTTGCTTTGGGTTTGTTTATCTGCATCCTGTCACCTCCCCCAAATGGGATATAACACAGAACTGCAATTATTTTGAAAACCCTAAATTGGCTTTTTTTTTGGCTAGGAAAATCTCACTTGATACAATTAATTCCTATCCTAGAGGAGCAGTTAGATATCTGATAGGAAGAGGAGTTGAGGGCGAGGTGGCTGCTCCCCTCAGTTCCTCTACTGTAATCCAGTTACTCCAACATTGATCAGGTGCTGCCATGCTTCGAGCAGGCGGCTGCAGAGCCCCACCCCCGGTGAGGACCCCCTCTGGGCCCTATTTGAGCTCACAGTCTAACTGGGAAACAGAAATAAGCTAATAAACCAATAACTAGTTCTGGTACGAAGTCGATTGAGCAGAGAGCCAGGGAATTTGAGGGAGAACTTTGAAGGATGGCTTCCTGGGGAAGGTAAGAGTAGATAGGGCTGGGCCTTGGGACAGGCCAGGCCCACGCAGAGTGACTGGGGAAAGGGACGGCCTGATCAAGGTTCAGAGGTGTGAAAGGAGGGAGTCTGTTCAGGAAACATGGGTAGATGGGTGTTGCATGGTGTAACTCAGGGTTCCCCAACCCCGAGGCCACAGACTGGTAGTTGTCTGTGGCCTGTTAGGAAGCAGGCTGCACCACTGGAGGTGAGTGGTGGGTAAGTGAGCAAAGCTTCCTCTGTCTTTTTTGTTTGTTTGTTTGCTTTTGTTGTTTTTGGAGGCTGAGTCTCGCTCTATTCCCCAGGCTGGAGTGCAGTGGCACGATCTCAGCTCACTGCAACCTCCGCCTCCTGAGTTCAAGCGATTCTCCAGCCTCAGCCTCCCAAGTAGCTGGGATTACAGGCACAGGCAACCAAGCCTGGCTAATTTTTGCTTTTTTTTTCATAGAGATGGGGTTTCGCCATGTTGGCCAGGCTGGTCTCGAACTCCTGACCTCTGGTGATCCACCTGCCTTGGCCTCCCAGAGTGCTGAGATTACACGCAGGAGCCACTGCACCTGGCCTGAAGGTTCAGATTTTAAAGAGCATGGCTAGAGAAGGCCCCGGTGAGAAAGTGACCAAGTGCACACCTACCTGAAGGAAGTGAGAAGGTGAGTTGTGTGGGTACCAGGCAAGGGGAACAATAGATGCAGGGACTTAAGCGGGCACATGCCAGAATGTCTAGGAAGAGCTGGCGGGCCAGTGTGGCCAGAGCGGGGAGGGCAAAGGGACAAGAAAGACAGCTCAGGGGCTCAAGGTGGGGCAGATTCCACCAGCCACTGCAGATCACTGTCAGGATCTGCCTTTTGCTCTGACTTACTCCGATGGGAGGGTTTTCTGCAGAAGAGTGACACAATCTGACTTACTTTTAAAAAGAGTCACTCTGGGCCGGGCGTGGTGGCTCATGCCTGTAATCCTAGCACTCTGGGAGGCTGAGGCGGGTGGATCACTTGAGGTCAGGAGTTCGAGACCAGCCTGGCCAACATGGTGAAACTCTGTGTCTACTAAAAATACAAAAATTAGCCGGGCATGGTGGTGGGTGCTTATAACCTTAGCTACTCAGGAGGCTGAGGCAGAATTGAACCCGGGAGGCAGAGGTTCCAGTGAGCCAAGGTCACACCACTGCACTCCAGCCTGGGCAACAGAGCAAGACCCTGTCTCAAAAAAAAAAAAAAAGTCACTCTGGTCACTATGAAAAACAGACTGCAGAGGTAAAAACAAGTTCAGAGGTGACTGCAATCATCCAGGGGCAAAGTCATGGTGGCTCCGCTTGGACCAGGTGTGGGGGCAGAGGGGGTGGTGAGAAGCGATCAGATCCTGGATAGAGTTTGAAAGTAGAGGTGAATAAATTTGCTGATGGCCCAGATATGAGATGAAAGACAAAGAGGAGTGAAGGATGACACCAAGCTCTTTGGTCTGAGCATCTGGAAAATGGAACGGCCATGCAGGGAGATAAGAATATCCGTGGCAAGGATCTGGCTTGGAGGCAAAGTGTAATGGGGACAGATGATGTGTAAGATGCTTGTTAGTCATACCGCTTCTCCCTACTTCATTGCTGTTACTTCTTCTGCTACCAGGTCATAACTCTCAGTTTTACCCTGTTTACCAAAACCCCCAATATGCTGTTCCCTTTGCACAAAATGTCCTTCTCATCCCATGCCCCCTCCAGCAAAGTCCTCAGTGAGGTGGCAGGTCCCCCTCCAGCGACCCCAGCCAGGTGAATGTATCATCTCTGACAGCCCCTTATTCCTTTTGAACAGGCTCTGTCTTATTGCTTTATAAGTTCTCTCTGGGCCTATTTGTCTCTTGAGACACTGAGCTCTTTGAGGGAGCCGTGCCTAATTTACATCTGGCATTAGGGCTGTTCCGTAGGGTGTGGAGGTTAAGAATAAGGACCACAGAGTCAAACAGAGCTATGTTGGAACCCCAGGTCTGCTACTTATTAATAAGCCACGGTCCTTAAGCAATTTAGTCAACTACTCCGAGCCTCAGTTTCACTAGCTGTAGAATGTCTTAGTCTATTTTGTGCTGCCATAACAGAAATACTTGAGACTGGGTAAGTTATGAAGAACGGAAATATTAATATATTCTCCCACAGTTCTGGGGGCTGAGAAGTCCAAGATCAAGGCCGTAGCATCTGGTGTGGGCCTTCTGACTGTGCCCTCACATGGTGGAAGGTGGAGGAGCAGGAGGGAATGAGCTCACTCCTGCAGGCCCTTTTTATAGCAGCATTAATCCATTCATGAGGGTGGAGCCCTCATGAACTGAACACCTCCCCAAACACTCCACCTCCTAACACCATTGCACTGGGGATTAAGTTTCCAACACATAGATTTTGGGGGACACATTCAGATGATAGCATGGATGATAATAGTCGCTTTGTCCTAGGATTATTTTGAGAAGTGTATAAAGTGCTTGGTGCTGGGCTTGGCATGTATTAATCCCTCATTAAATGCTCACATAACTTAATAATAAAAATAATAACACGTTTTTTTTTTTTTTTGAGACTGAGTCTTGCTTTATTGCCCAGGCTGGAGTGCAGTGGTAGAATCTCGGCTCACTGCAACCTCCATCTCCCCGGTTCAAGCAATTCTCATGTCTCAGCCTCCTGAGTAGCTGGGATTACAGGTGCCCACCCCTACACCAGGCTAATTTTTTTCTTTTTAGTAGAGATGGGGTTTCATCATGTTGGCCAGACTGGTCTCGAACTCCTGACCTCAAGAGATCTGCCTATCTCAGCCTCCCAAAGTGCTGGGATTACAGGTGTGAGCCACCGCACCCAGCCAATAATAAGTGTTCTTTATGAAGATTTGTGAGGGGCCAGTTTGGAGGGTTGGATGGAGGGCCAGGCAGGCCAGTGAGAAGGGAAGCTGAGCAATTGTCCAGGTGAGAATGGTGTGGCCAGGGCTAAGACAGGGGCGGGCAGATGACGTAAGGGCTGCTCTTGGGGTTGAGTAAGCAGGACTTGGTGACATTGGTCATCGGTGGTCGAGGAAGGGAGAAATTTTAGACAACCCAGGCTTGAGCTCTTTCTGAGCCAGCTTTGAAATTTTAAACCGCTGTGTTTTCTCACTTGGTCAAAGTCACTCAGCGCTGAGACTTCCCCCACTGCGGGCTCCAGGAGGCCTGACCTTTCAGCAGTATTTACAGTATCGACCAGCTAATTTTAGACACTAACACCAGCAGGATAATAGGGTAAAAGGCGACCTCACTGGAGCTGTTCTAGCCGGTGCGCTTCCCAAGATAGTGTCATTCATGGATGAAGCCGGGGTTCACTGGATGCCGACTTCGGGCCCAGCCTGGGCATCGGTGGTGTGTGTATAAATAACTTATCCTTGTTAAGTAAGTAAAGAGAAGGCGCCTTTTCCAAGGGGGTGGCCCCCAGCTTTCTGGTTCAGGCTGTTTTCTGGCTGGACAGTGTGCCTTCCCCACACCCCTTTAGCACCTTCCTGTTTCCCAGTGTGCTCTGACCTTCACCTCAGCAGCCCTTCCTCCAAGGCTCTTCTAAGGCTGGGCTCCCACCTTGGCAGGGTCTTCCTGGAGCAGAAGAGAGCCAGAGGTGGGACCACAGCATCCCTGGGGTGGCATTCCAGCAGTCACCAGGCCAGTTATTAGCTGTGGCCCTTAAGCAATTTGCTCAACTACTCCGAGCCTCAATTTCCCTGGCTGTAAAATGGCGATTGTCTTAGTGGAGCAAGTGGGAGAGACACTGGTGTAAGGGCAAGAGCTGGCTCCTTCCTTTTCCGAGAAGGGTTAACCCTCTAAGTAGCTCCTTGGAGCGCAGCAACACATGCTGTCCCCTTGACACCACCTCCAGGTCGAATGCCTCTGTCTCTGTGTTTGCTGGAAACCGTCCAGCACCGTCTGGCCCCGCTGTGAGCAGCCTGTCGAGCTGCATATGGCGGCTCCCCCATGGCGCTGCCACCGGCTTCTGTGTCGGGAACAGGCTGGAGCCTCCCGTCTGGGCTCGGACACCTTGTTCCTCTCCTCTACTATCCAAGGACTCATTCACCTTAAAGCAGTTGGGAAAAGAATGTCCTCTATGCAGGCTCTAAACCTCAAGGGGTGAAGGGCTGGCATGGCCATTTTTTTCTGGGGACAGGTTAATTCATGGAGAAACCCCCAGGGTTTTATTTCTCCCTGGACAACAACAAGATGAAGTCAGATAAACCACCTGTTCGTTTTGCATTGCTGTAAAGGAATACCTAAGGCTGGGTAATTTACAAAAAAAAAAAAAAAGAAAGAAAGAAAAGAAAAAAAGGCTTATTTTTGGCTCATGGTTCTACAGACTGAGCAAGAGGCATAGTGCTGGCATCTGCTTCTGGTGAGGCCTCAGGAAGCTTAAGATCGTCGTGGAAGGTAGAGCGGAGGAGGTGTGTCACATGGCCAGGGAAGGAGCAAGAGAGGGGGTAGGGAGGTCCCAGACTTTTTTCTTCTTTTGAGATGGAGTCTCACTCTGTCGCCCAGGCTGGAGTGCAATGGCACAATCTCAGCTCACTGCAACCTCCACCTCCCAGGTTCAAGCGACTCTCCTGCCTCAGCCTCCCAAGTAATCGGGATTACAGGTGCCTGCCACCATGCCCAGCTAATTTTTGTATTTTTAGTAGAGATGGGGTTTCACCATGTTGGCCAGGCTGGTCTTGAACTCCTGGCCTCTGGTGATCCACCTGCCTTGACCTCCCAAAGTGCTGGGATTTACAGGCGTGAGCTACTGCGCCCGGCCTCCCAGACTCTTTTTAACCGTCAGGTCTCTCGGTAAGTGATGAGCTTGGGAAGGGCACCAAGCCGTTCATGAGGGATCTGCCCCCATAACCCAAATGGCTCCCGTAAGGCCCCCCCTCCAACACTGGGGATCACATTTCAACCTGAGATTTACAGGGGACAAATATCCAAACCATATCCTCACCATTCCCAGATCTTGGCTTTGCCATTTATGTTCTCTCCTTCACCCTTCCCTGTAGGCGGTGGCTTTTAGTGTGAACCCTGAGAAGCCAGAGGGTGTAAGGACACCAGGAAGAAAGACAGGGTGGAAGAGCGCGGAGTGTTATCTATCAAGGCTGGGCTCATGGGCTCTCCTCTGTGAGGAGCACGGATGATCAAGGCAGGCATGGAAAAGCTGAGCACAGCGGAGCAGGGTTAGCAGGAGGCACTTCTGCTGGCAGGGTGGGCCAGCTGCTGGTGGCATTCTCATTATTAGCCACAACGACCCTAAACAACGCTCACATGCACTTAGGAGCACTTTGCAGCTTATAATGAATTTCTGTGGTCATTTCTTCATTGGAAACTTGCAAGAGGCACAGCAAGGAATTAATTAGTTAAAGCATTCATTTATTCAGTTATAGAGCCCTTATTGGATGCATAACGATGTGTTAGACTGTTAACTTACATCATCAGCCCCTTTACAAAGAGGAAACTGGAGCCCAAGGAGGTTAAAAAATCTCACCCTCAGTCTGGAAAGCTGGGATGGGCTTGAACTAACTACTCACCATTTATCTGTGCTTGGTGCCCAGGAAGCTCAGCTGCAGAGTTGAATCTGGCAGGTCCCTACTCTGAAGAGTCCACAGTTTCTGCTTCCCCTGGGTTCTGTGGGTGGAGCAGCTTAGAGAAGACCCAGGAGACGAAACTGGTCATCCATAGCAAGAAGACATGGACTTCCCAGATGATATTCACTAGGGGCAAAAGTAGGCAATGGTGGTGGGCAACTTGGGGGAATATAAGTTGTCTTTGCTTTGGGAGAGATTTCTAGACTCTTTCTTGGAGGCTTTCATTACTGATTGGGGAACAGTTTCTAGCACAAAAAGATTTAGTTCCAAGATATAATAAAACCACATTTAAAAATTCAGTGAACTTTGGAGCATCTAAAAGCTGAAGGAAAAGAGAACTTTCTGATAAAGTAACAATAATCCTGCTCAGAAAGCAGTTGCCATGGTTACGTACAAGTCTCTGGGGGTGTTTTTTATTTGGCAAGAGATGGTAAATGTTTTCCCAGGGTAAGTCCAACTGGCCACACTGGCCTGAGCGATGTGAGGGAGCCCTGGGGTCCAAGCCAAATACTCCTGTGGCAACTGGAACTGCTGCCCAAAGGATGGGCATAGCCAGGCAGAACCTGACACTCAGGAAGCCTTTCCTCTGCTCATTGCTCAAGGGAGCAGGGCAAATTGAGCCCCACATTCCAACAATAATCATTCAGTGACTATGAGGATGGCAGTCACAACCAGCTCCACTGACTGGGTGCTGGGCAGGTGCTAAGCTAAATGCTGTATGTGTCTTAGTTCAGGTGACCTTGACAATAGCCTCGTGAAGGAGGTATTATTCCCATGTTACAAATGAGTCAACCGAGTCTCGGAGAAGCTAAGACACTTGCTAGATATCACAGGAAATGGTGAAGCTGAAATTCCAATGCAGGTCACCTGGACACCAAAGTCCAGAGGATGGGGTATAAACCCTGTTTTTCTTTTTTCTTTTTTTTTTTTTCTTTTTCTTTTTTTCAGATGGAGTCTCATTCTGTCCCCAGGCTGGAGTGCAGTGGCACAATCTGGGCCCACTGCAACCTCTGCCTCTCGGGTTCAAGTGATTCTCCTGTCTCAGCCTCCCGAGTAGCTGGGATTACAGGCACCCGTCACCACCCCTGGCTAATTTTTATATTTTTAGTAGAGACAGGGTTTCACCATGTTGGCCAGGATGGTCTCAATCTCCTGACCTCGTGATCTGCCCATCTTGGCCTCCTGTTTATAACTAAAAGTACAGAACTTTGAGGCAGCCCTTCCTCTGCCTCATCTCTTCCCAGTAGCATCTTACTAGTGTCCTTCTCCTAAGGTGAGGCTAAGCATTATTCGCCAGCCAGTGATATCTCTGTCCCTCTCCTGGTTCACCTGGGCACTTCAAGATGCCTCGCCAAATGCCCGGCTTGTATCTCAGTACTCCATTCCAAGTATTTTCCGCCAATGAGCCACCTGGAAAAATACGATCTCAGTTGGCAGCAGAGTGAGGATGTGAGCTCAGGCTCCTTTTGACTCTCCTGTTTGAGGGACCACCAGATCTGCCTCTGGGGTGGTGGCCCTGGGAGCACCAACACAGAATGCCAGTCCCTGCCTTCAAGGTGCTTACAGTCTGCAGGGGGAAATACACAGGCAGTTACAAGGCCCTCATGGTTTCTCTTGTGATACAGGGAGTCATGGGAAGCTATGGGACCTAGAGGCCATGAATCAGCTTTACCTTGCAGGCAAGAAAAGTGTTACAAAGAGTGTAGTAGCCTTCGGTTTGGGAAAAGAAAAGTGCCGAAAAGAATTAATACAGTAATACAGCAAGCTTGAAGCTTCTATCTTTAGAAGAGCTTGCTTGCAAGGTAGGCCCTTGGCTGGAGTCATAGAACTTGGCTTTTGAAACATCCTTTAACTGCTAAAGTTGCTTTGCTTTGCCTGGACTCTTTGCACAATGTGTTTTATGTATTTTCCTTATGGGAGTATGAAATGTTGGTAGTTGCTAGGCAAAGAGTGCCTATGTGATCAACTCCCAATTACAAACAAAACAAAACAAAAAACGCACCCTAAACTCCGAGTCTCAAACAGGCTTTCCCAGGCTGAAACTTTACATACATGTTGCTGCAATTTTTGCTGCTGGAGAAAAAAGCATGCTCAGCATGTCCCTTCCTCAGTGTGTCATGGGAGGGAGAGGAAGCCTGTGCTTGGGTTTCTCCAGAGTCCGTCTGATGTCTTTTGCCTGCATAGATCTTGTTGTGTTTTCTTTTACTGCAATAAACTACAGCCGTGAAGTCAATTATGCTGAGACCCGTGATTTCTTCTAGTGACCCAGTGATCATGTGGGTGGTCTTAGGCCCCCTAAAATAGAAAAGATGAATGAGATTTTAATGGGAAGAACAGGAAGAGAGGGGATTCCAGGTATAGGAAACAGCATATGCAAACTCATAGAAGCATGAAAGCGTGTGGTTTGGGCAAGGAATGGTGTGGCCTGCAGCTAACTAAAGGGAGGTGCTGACGAACTTGAAAAAGTTCAGAGGAACTGGGCTGTGAGGTGCGTGAGTGCTAGGCCAAGGGATCTAGATTTTATCTTATGAGCAATGGGAAACATTGGGTATACTTAAAGAGAGAAATAACAGTCAGGGGGATATTACTGTTACAACAATTACTCTAGTAGCCAGTGTGTGGGGCTAATCGTGAGTGAGGAAACAGGAGGCCAGAAGGCAGGCCTTGGAGGAGGCCTGGCAGGGATGCAGATGTAACCTGTCTGAGCCAAGTGCTCCTTAGAGCCTCCTTGCCAACCCTCCTCCTGTTCCATCCTTCCCATTGTCCAAGAACCCTAGACCCTTGCTTGGCTCATTCTGATAGGGCTGGCTGGACTGTGCAGACTGTTGCTACTATCCCAGGGCCTTGAAGAAAACTAGCCAAGCCCAGTTGCATTTATGGCCACTCCTGAGCAATGCTCATGATGGTCTATAGGGTCTAACCCAGTGGTTCTCAACTAGGGGCAATTTCCCCTCTTCTCCTAAGGACATTTGGCCATGCCTGGAGATATTTTGGTTGTCACAACTGGGGGTGAGGTGCTACTGGCATCTAGTGGGTAAAGGCCAGAGATGCTGCTTAACATTCTACGTTCACGGGACAGCCTCCCTGAACAAAAATGTATCAGGCCCAAAATGTCAGCAGTGCCAATGTTGAGAAACTCTTTTCTAGATTAGCACTGTCCAGCGGAATTTATTGCAGTGATTGAAATGTCCTATCATTCTGCACCATCTAAGGTAACCACGAACCACATGCGGCAGTTGAGCCCTTGAAAGATGGCTAGTTGGGATTGAAGAACTCAAGTTTCAAGTGTATTTCATTTTAATTAATTTGATTTTTGTCTTAAGTAGCCACACGTGGCTGGCTAATGGCTACTGTATCAGGAGCATGCTGCATCAGATCTGCATGCTCAGCAGGCTGCCAGCAGTTCCTGAGGATAACGTCCTTAGTTTACACTCTCTGGCTCCCGCATTTTCCCCAGAGCACATCCTCTGGGAAGAGGGGCTACCAGCCAGAGCCACCTCTGGGCCAGACCAAAACCACAACCCAGACTTGGGGGTTGAGCACAGCTCAAGGTATGTTCTCCTGGGGCTTCCAGCAGACCTGAGTCAGGCCCATCTCAGACTGCATCGCTGAACCTCAGATGTGAGAAAGAAGCTTGGCTCTTGAGGCCTTTTTTTTCCCCCAACAGACCCCTACTTTGCCACATTTTCTCCCAGTCACCAGCTCTGGAATACTGGGAGGTGCAGCCATGATCAAACCTCAGAAAAGGTCCCTTGGTTCCTTTCTTCTGGGAGAGTGAGCTCCTTGGTGTCCCTTATTCCATTACTAAGGGGGCTCCTTTCAGAGACTTTTTCCAGGAAAGAAAAAAAAATCGGCTTCAAGATGACTTAATGTCCCTACATAGGCAGAGAAGACACTGACAAATTCAAACAGCCATGTCTCTGGCTTAAAAAAATTTAAGTTATGCCTAACAAGGCACAAACCTTAGACAGAGAAGAATATCAGATAAGGCTTGAATGCAAACTGTGGCAGTGGCATGGAGCAGATGTGCATACTGGATATGCATGAGTGATGGTGGAATGAATAAAGCATCATGAGGTTTAGAATATTCTTCTTCCCCTTTTAGAAATGAGGAAAGTAAAGCTCAGACAGGCTAAATGACTTCCCCAAAGTAACAGGACAAGTATATGGAAGAATCAAGATTTGAACCCAAGTTGATCAGGCTCCAAACCCCACACTCCTTTTTATTCTTTTTTTGAGATGGGGTCTTGCTCTGTCACCCAGGCTGAAGTGCAGTGGCCTGATCGCGACTCACTGCAACCTCTGCCTCCTGGGTTCAAGCGATTTACCTGCCTCAGCCTCCCAAGTAGATGGGATTACAGGTGTGCACCACCACGCCTGGCTAATTTTTGTATTTTTAGTAGAGATGGGGTTTCACCATGTTGGCCAGGCTGGTCTCAAACCCCTGACCTCAAGTGATCCATCCTCCTGGGCCTCCCAAAATGCTGGGATTACAGGTGTGAGCCACTGCACCTAGCCCAAACCCTACACTCTTAACCACGGAGGCACCTGTGGGAAGGTGTCTGCAAACTGAAAAGGCAGGGCTGTCCAAGAAATCTCCTGAAGTCACTTGCCCAGGGAAGGATCCCAGATTTTCTGGAGGCCTAGACAGGCTATGATCCGGGCCTACAGCATCCCTAAAACATCCAAAGAAGAGATGAACAGAGATGCTCTCCTGTTCTGCTTGGGAAGGCAGCCATGCCACTAATTGGCTTCAGGGATAAAGATGTGGTAGGGGGATGGCTGTTTACTTCACAGTGGGAAACATACATTTCAATTTGCTTGATCAAAATCCAGTCTGGTGCTCTGAGGAGACTGTGGGTTGGGGCGACTGGGGAGCTAGCAGGGACAGGCACTGGGCTGGGATGGCTGGGAAACGGCTCAGCTTCAAAGTGTTTGCAGAGATTCCTAATTAAAGAACAAGTCCACAAAGAAGGGAGTTGAGTCATGTTTAGGAATTGGAATGTGGACTGCTGCAAATCTCCATGTTGAAAATTAATCCCCTTTCTGGCTCTAAGACAATGTACTTTGGTATTTTCTTAGATGACTGTGGCTTTACCACTATTATCCAATGGGGCTCTCCAGAGTTAAAATGCATGTCCTGGAGCAAGGATGGCAAACACAGAACAAATATCTGCTAGCTACTACCCCGCACCTGTGACAGACATCACTAATCAATCAAAGCACACTTTCCCATGAAGGCTAAACAGAGCTTCAGAATTATTTTTAAGGCAGCACTTCAGACAGCCACTAACAATGGAACCAAATTGAAACATAAAACAAAATCTATTTGCAATGCCTGCCCTTGAAGTCAGGTATGGTCTTAGAGGACAGATAGATCTTGCTTAAAGTAAGTTCACTAGACCAAAGTTTCAAAAGTCATTGTGATGCTGTGTTGGGCCCAATAAAAGACTGGGCGAACCCATAGTCAGGAAACTAGCGAGACTCCAGTTCAGTCCGTCCTTTCAGTTACATCTTGTGTTTTCTCTTAGTTAAGTGATCAACCAAGCCTCTACTTGACCAGCTCAGTGATGCGGAACTCACGATCTTACAAGGAAGCCTATGACTTTTTTTGGTCAGCTCTGAACTATAGGCCATGAAGTCAGCTGGCCCTGGGTCCTGGCTTGTCCTGTTCTGTGACTCTGAGCAAGCCACATCATCTTTTGTCTATAAAGTGTGGGGAAGTCCTGCCTGGTTCAGGGAGGTGTGATGTATAACTGAATGTATGTTAAAAAAAAACTTGCAGAATGCAGGCCGGGTGTGGTGGCTCACACCTGTAATCCCAGCACTATGGGAGGCCGAGGCGGGTGGATCACAAGGACAGGAGATCGAGACCATCCTGGCTAACACGGTGAAATCCCGTCTCTACTGAAAATACAAAAAATTAGCCAGGCGTGGTGGTGGGCACCTGTAGTCCCAGCTACTCAGGAGACTGAGGCAGGAGAATGGCGTGAACCCGGAAGGCAGAGCTTGCAGTGAGCTGAGATTGCATCACTGCACTCCAGCCTGGGCCACAGAGCGAGACTCCATCTCAAAAAAAACAACAACAACAAAACAACTTGCAGAATGCTTCACATGTGGCTGGTGCACAAAGCGTACAGATCTTCATGTCTACATTGTGCCCAGATCTGCCTTACTGAAGCTTCCAACGCTGGTTCCTTGGGGACCCCAGAATATGTCTGCTTCCTCCTCCCCTTGACAGCCTGGCAGATGTTTAAAGACACATTTGAACACAGAGTGTCACACCTTTTCCGGTTCCTTCAACATTTACAGAAATCTTCTGTCTAATGCTCGCTGCCTCTGTACTTGCTCTTAGCATGTGCATCAAACTCTCAGGTTATCTCTGACCATACCTGGGCAGCAGGACTCTCACCTCCCTCCTTCTCTACACTAGACACCGATTCATTCATTCACTAATTCATTCACACGTTCGTTCACTTGATAAATACATCACCAAGTTCCTGCTAGGTCTCAGGCACTTCGCTAGGAACAAGGAATACAATGATGAACTCAATAATTGATACAACTCCCCTGCCCTTTGTTGCTGAATTCGGGCATTGTTCTGCAAATTCATAGATTCCAGAAATATTTAATTGTGTATGTTACCCTGCAAGAAGTTGTAGATGTAGCAGAAAATAAGGGTAATGTGGTTCCTGCTTTTTGTTCATTCAACCTCTTAACAATTATTTATTAATTTGAGCAGACTTGAAGCTGGACAAACAAATAAGAAACCACTGGCATAAATATTATGAAGACATGTAGGTGCTGTGGGAGACTAGGAAAGGGATTTGCCTTGGTCTTTTTATTTTATTAGTGTGGTATATAAACACACACACACACACGCATATATATAGCATATTTATTTATGTATTTATTTGTTTGTTTTTGAGATGGAGTCTTGCTTTGTCATCAGGCTGGAGTGCAGTGGCACAATCTCAGCTCACCACAACCTCCACTTCCTGGGTTCCAGCGATTCTCCTGCCTCAGCCTCCCCGAGTAGCTGGGATTTCAAGTGAGCACCACCATGCACCTGAAATTTTATATTTTATATTTTTATATTTTTAGTAGAGATGGGATTTCACCATGTTGGTCAGGCTGGTCTCCAACTTCCGACCTCAGATGATCTGCCCGCCTCGGCCTCCCAAAGTGCTGGGAATACAGGCATGAGCCACCACGCCCGGCTGCATATGTATATTTATATATAGTATATGTATATATTTGTATATAGTATACATATTTGTGTATATATACACATACACACCCTAGTACATATATTTTGTGCATATATAGTATATATTTTTATATAGTATATATATATTATATATATGACATTTCATATATATTTATGAATATATTTATATTTATTTGCCATTTTAATCGTCCTTAAGTACATATTGGTTACATGTAATCAGTGGCATTAATTACATTCACAACATTATGTAACTATCACCACTATCTGTTTCCAAAACCTTTTCATCCCCCCAAACAAACTGCCCATTAAGCAATAATTCCTCATTCCCTCCTCTTCCAGCCCCTGGGGGCCTCTAATCTACTTTCTGTTTCTATAAATTTGCCTATTATGGATAGTTCATATAAATGGAATAATATGAAATGTATCCTTTGTGTCTGCATCTTTCACCTAGCATAATATTTTCAAGGCTCATCCATGTTGTGGCAGGTATCAGAGCTGATTAATGTTTTTTATGGCTGAATAAAATTTCATTGTATGGGTATACCACATTTTGTTCATTCATCTGTTGATAGACCATTGGGTTGTTTCCACCTTTGGCTATTGTGAATAGTGTTACTATGAACATGTACATGTGAGTGTCTGCTTAGTCCCTATTTTCAAATATTTTGGGTATAGATGGTCTTACTAATACTTAAATTTTAGGTGCACAGAATTGGATTAAGCACAATCCTTAGTTCATGTTGTGGACCAAATGGTGTTTCCCCCTAATTCATATGTTGAACCTCTATCCCCCGGTTTGACTGTAATTGGAGATAGGGCCTTCAAGGATGTAATTAAGGTTAAATGAAGTCATAATGTTGAAGCCCTAATCCAATAGGACTGGTGTCTTTAGAAGGAGATGAAGAGACACCAGGAGCTCAAGCCCACAGAGGAAAGGCCACGTGAAGACACAAGAAGAAGAAGATAGCCATCCCTAAGCCAGGAAAAGTGCCCTCACCAGAAACCAACCCTCCTGACACCTTGATCTGGGACTTTCAGCCTCTAGAACTGTGAGAAAATAAATTTCTGTTGTTTGAACCACCCAGTTTTTGGTATTCTGTTACGGCTGAATACCATAACAGATGAGGCTGAGCAGATGAATACATTTTTATGATACACGTTCATTTTTGGCCCATGTGTGATCCAATTTTATTATTAATTAATTAGCAATTATTTGGTTACCTTGAGTTACGGTAGTAGTTCTTTTTTTTTTCTTTCTTTTTTTTATTTTAGAGATGGGATTTTGTCATGTTGTCCAGGCTGGTATGAAACTCCTGGACTCAGGTGATCCACCTGCCTCGGCCTCCCAAAGTGCTGGGATTACCCGTGTGAGCCACTGCACCTGGCCCAGTTGTAGTTCTTTTCATGTTATTGATACTAATCCTTGTACGTATTACATCTTCTTCTAGCTGTAACTTGCCTTGTTGAGTATGGTATGAGGTGTAGGCATCAAGCTGTACTTCTTCCTAGATGACTACCTAATTGAAATAGCACTATTTATTTAAAAACAAGATAA
Organism: Homo sapiens; assembly: GCF_000001405.40. Lineage (NCBI taxonomy): Eukaryota > Metazoa > Chordata > Mammalia > Primates > Hominidae > Homo > Homo sapiens. The sequence continues at coordinate 6,051,893 of NC_000017.11, forward strand.
CAAAATTGAAAACAAAACAAAAAAAACCCTTCCCTTTTCCATTGTCGTGATATGTAATTCTATTGTCTATCTGCGTATGAATCTTTTTCTGGACTCTATTAGTCTATTTGTCTATTTTTGCACCATTTCCGTAACTGACTGAATTACTCTGGCATCAAAGTAAGTCCTGTTATTTGTTAGCATTAGTCACTTCTCCTGGATCTTCTTTATCAGAAATGTCCTGGCTATTCTACAGGCTTTACTCCTACATACAAATTTAGAATCACTTTAGAAGCTGCTGTTAAAAATTTAGCACTTTGGAATTTTGATAGGAATTTTATTGGATCTGGGCATCTTCATAATATTAAGACTGTTCCTGTTCATGAATGTTGTATAGCTCTAACTCCATCTTGTGACTTAAAAAATTATTAAAATTTATCCATGTAAAAAAGTAAAGAAGGAGCAAGAGAACGAACCAGCAAACTGCATGTATGAAGGCCCTGAGGCATGAGTGGGCAGAATTCACTGGAGGCATGGGGAGATGGTGAATATACCTGAAGCGCAGGATGAGGAGGGATGGGGAACAGATGAGATTGAAGACGAAGGCAGTGCTGTAAGGATCTGGAGAGTTCTAAGAACATCACTGATATGACCAGAATTTCATTCTAGAAGGACTACTCTGAGGAGAGAAGAATGGACTAGGGGAGGGAAGAATAGAAACAAGGAGACAAGTAAGGAAACTACTGCTGTTGCCTGGGAGAGAGACAGCTTGGACCAGGGTATTGTCAGTGGTGTTGGAGAGAAGTGGACGGATTTGAAATTTATTTGGAAAGTAAATTTGGGGCAGGGCGCGGTGGCTCATGCCTGTAATCCCAGCACTTTGGGAGGCCGAGGAGGGTGGATCATGAGGTCAGGAGTTCAAGACCAGCCTGGCCAAGATGATGAACCCTGTCTCTACTAAAAATACAAAATTTTAGCCAGGCGTGGTGGCAGGTGCCTGTAATCCCAGCTACTCGGGAAGCTGAGGCAGAGAATTGCTTGAACCTGGGAGGTGGAGGTTGCAGTGAGCCGAGATCATGCCACTGCACTCCAGCCTGGGCAATAGAGTGAGAAAAAAAAAAAAAAGCAAATTTGGGATCAACAGGATATAGTGACTAAACAGTCATGTGTGAGGTAGACAGGTAGGAGGAGAGAATGATTCCTTAGTTTCTGGTTTGGGTGACTGAGCAAACAGGGTTACCAGTTGTTAGAAGGGAACTCCTTTTTCTCCACTCCTGGTTCACAGGAAAAGGGATTTTCCCCTAAGCACACATGACCTTTCTCCAGCTTTTCACATACTGACTCTTCTGATAGGTAAACTTGGGAAGAATAACCGTGCTGGGCTTTGTCCTTCTTCTTTTGGTCAAGTCTGACTTCAGAGGGCAAAGTTCTCTGCTCGTCTAAGACATAAGTCTCACTTGGGCAGGACCCTCCACGCTGCAGGCTGGCGCTGCCTGGGACGAGGTGGATACACTGGCCAGGTTCAGGGGTTGAGTAAGAGGAAGCCACTTGTCTAATAGCCCCAAGGCCACATTTTCCACCTGGCTTCTAGGAGAAACAAACTTGATATTTTGGCCTTTATCTTTACTTTTTAATTTTATTTCACAACTTGTTCAAAACCTAGGAGAAGTAGCAGGGTACCACTTGGTAGGGATTTCTCCACAAATCCTTAATATTTGGTGCCCTGGGGAAGAAAAAAAATAGATCTGGAATTCAGGAAGCCACATTTGTACATGGAGTGGTTTCAGGGGCAGCAAGAGCCTGTGGCTGTGACTCTGGGCATCACGCTTTAACCTTGGTAATTTCTAGACACCTGGATTAGTCCAGATCGGTTCTTTATAGTTGTGTGGTTGTCTTTTAACAGTTCTGGTATGGACAGGCAGGTTGTGCCTTATGCCAAGTGATACATTGACTTTGTGGGTGACTGTGCAGAAAAATATTGAGGTCTCTGAACACCTCCCCAATAAATAGCACCTTATTCCTCACTCAAGGTTTGAACAAATTGAACAAACAAACAAACAAAAATAAAGATAGGGGTGCACAAATCTTTCGCTACGGCATCAAGCCAGGCAGAGGGACCTGACTGTGCTCTGCTACCTGGACCAGGGCAGGCGGTGCCCTGCAGGGATGGAGCAATACAGTCCCTGCTTCCTGCGGCCGCTCACTTCTGAGAGGATGAAGGAACAAAGACCAGGGGGCAGCTTTGAAAAAGCCTTCCATGAATCTCTTGGACCCGGGAGGTGGAGGTGACAGTGAGCCGAGATCGCGCCACTGCTCTCCAGCCTGGGCAAGAGAGAAAGACTCTGTCTAAAAAAAAAAAAAAAAAAAAAAGAGGAAAAGAAAAAGCTTTCTGCATGCAAACCAGGAAAGGGGAGAAGACACTCCCTTCAACTCCATTCTTTGAGATGGGAACTTAGGAAGAAGAGCATTAAGCTGGCTTCCTAGAAGTCTACCAATGCACAGAGCCCTTTGCAAAAGCTATAAATCCAACAATCAGCATACTGGGTTTCCTTGGAGGAATCCTGAGCAGGCACACTCTTTTCTTTCCTTTGCATCTTCGCCTGGCCCTGTCCTGCTCTGGGAAGGAGCTAGACAGGGGCCAGTTAGGGTCAGTAGGTGCTGGTTGTAGAAACGCCTTAGGTGCTGGGAATTCCCTGACTACTACTATGCCCTGAGCTCATGGGGCCACTGGCTGTGAAACAGGTCCTCTGTTATTTACTTTGACCTTAGGGCCCAAGTAAATAATTTAGCAGTGTTTCTCCCCCTCTAGCATGTTCAGCTGTGGCAATTAACTAAGGTTCTGCTGGGATTGCCTTGTTTCCAGCATTTTCTGACCTCTGACCCCGGTGAATTTAATTCTGCTCCTTTAATAATTTCTGAGGGTGTAGATTCTGTCGAGTGAGCAGGGTCCATCCTGCAGAAATCAACTTAAATTCTGAGGCTGCACACTAGACATATTCAGGAAGACCGAGCCCTGATTTGTTTTGAGTGCAAGCAGGAGAGGTGAGCCAGACTTGCTCTGCATGCCGCTGAGGGAACAGGCATAGCCCTGCCTGAGTGTATGGGCTTGGGGGGTGGTCTTTTCCTGAGTGGGTTGCTGCCTCGGAGGCTTTTGGCTCTGGGATAGGCCCATTTCCTGGATTCCTGCAGGAAACAGAATAGCTATGAGATTGCATGGTGTTCCAGTGGGACATGCAAACCCCTCCCCCATCGTTCATTCATTCCTTAAGTCAACAACAACATATGTTCCAAGCACTGGGCTTGGTCCTGGAGGTGGTAAAGATGAGAAATGCGTGGTGTTTTAGGAGTCCTTTGTGGCCTTTTAGGGAAAGATAGATGTGTGCGGTAGATGAGTGCAGAAGGATTGAGTTCGGCTGGAGGGTGAGGTCACCTCATAGCTTGGGCTCATTGATGAGCACCTGAGCCTGGAGGGACCAATCAAGCCTCAGTCTGCAGAACTTTGCAACAGAATCAGGAATGACCCAACTTTCCAGTGGCTAGAACCATAAGGTATAGTTAGAAGCCTGCGGGGTGGCACTTTCTTTTTTTTTTTTTTTTTTTAACCGAGTCTCACTCTGTCTCCCAGGCTGGAGTGCAGTGGTGCAATCTCGGCTCACTGCAGCCTCTGCCTCCCGGGTTCAAGCGATTCTCCTGTCTCAGCCTCCTGAGTAGCTGGGACTACAGGTGCATGCTGCCATGCCTGACTAATTTTTGTATTTTTTAGTAGAGACAGGGTTTCACCATGTTGGCCAGGCTGGTCTTAATCTCCTGACCTCATGATCTGCCTGCCTCGGCTTCCCAAAGTGCTAGGACTGCAGGTGTGAGCCACTGCGCGCAGCCAGGGTGACGCTTTTTAAGTTTGTGGCTAAATCGAGGAGGATGCTGGTCTGCAGAGAGAGACAGACAGAGAGGAGAAAGAGAGAGAGAGAGAAAGAGAGAGAGAGAGAGAGAGGCCAATGCTCAGAGAAAAGCAGAAGTAAAAGGGGGAAAGTGGGTAATTGCTGCATTTCCAGAGGTTTTCCAAATTTATATTCCAAACCTTATGGAAGCCCCGCAAGCTAGCTTGAACGAGTGCCTGACGCTTGTAAACAAAAGTGTTTGTAAAGTATTATGACAGGCAGTTGTGACAATACTGAAACAATTGTAACATGGACAGGAGAGGAGGCTGCAGGAGCACGAACTGGGGACCTTTAACTTCAGGTGATGGAGTCAGGCCAGCGAAGAAAGGCTTCACAAAAAATGGATATTCAATCCCAGTCAGGAAGGAATAATACCAGTGACCAACATCATTTACCTCTCACTCTGTGACAGACACTCTTACAGATGCTCTGTGATTATCTGTAAATCTGTTTTGTAGCAACCTAGGAAATAGGGATGATGATGATCCCATTTTTCAGATGGGAAGACTAAGGCTCGGAGAGGCAAAGTTGCTTGCCTAAGGTCATTGCAACTTGGAAGTGGTGGAACTGAGATTTGCACCCTGGCCCCCAGCTTTGTTCTGCCACTGGGTTTGACTACCTCCCTGCCCCCTGTACCCCTCTGCATGGTTTACCACAAGGGCAAGGAGCAGGCAGAGATGCACTGGGGCTGATACTTCGTATAGACGAAACAGCGTGGACAGAGAAAGATAGAGAGGAGGAGGAGGAGAGGACAGTGAGCCTGGGCAGGATCTGCTACATGATTTGTAGGACCCAGTGCAAAATGAGAGTGTTTCAAGACAGCAACTGCAGGGCATTAAACCCTGTGTGGACCTTTCTGGATCCTGGGCCTTGGGGGCCTGTGCAGGTCCCACACCCCAGAAGACAGCCAGGAGTTTGGGCAAGCACACACCATTGCTTCCTGCCAGGGCTCAAGAGGGAACCCTGTGACTCTGGCAGGGGCAGCGGGGGACCACTTGATAATTCCGCAATGCAGCCAGCACAGTCTCCTTGTGGTGGGGATTGTGGTCCCAGATGAGGGCAGGGTGGGCCTTTTTTTTTGCAAAGCCAGAGGGTGTGGATTCAGACCTGTAGGGGATGAGGAACCAGTAAAAGATTCTGAGAAACCAGTGATGCCGTCTAAGATTGCGTTTCCACATAGCAGACCCTACTGGAAGCACTAAAAAGAGGGGCTGGGGGGTGGCAGTCATTGTTCCTGCAGGTAATTCCAACAGGAGTTTTCTTTTCTTTTCTTTTCTTTTGAGACAGTCTCCTCTGTCACCCAGGCTGGAGTGCAACGGCATGATCTCAGCTCACTGCAACCTCCGCCTCCCAAGTTCAAGTGATTCGCCTGCCTCAGCCTCCCAAAGTGCTGGGATTATAGGTGTGAGCCACCGCGCCCAGCCAGGGGTTTTCTTAACACAATCTGTTTGGGTTCTCTTGCCCATTTAAGAGGATCTGGCCAAGAAAGTTCAGAAGTTGCAGTGAGAAAATACTCACAGAGGGGATGTTGAATCCATTAACACTGTATTTTTTTTTTAAACCTCTCAGCTGGAGGAAAACATTTAAATAGAAGTCATTAGCGAGCATGTTTCTGAAGCCAACAGTGCCTAATAAGTCAAAATTGCTTTCCCTAAAAAATGAAACCTATTGAAGGTTTTCAACCCCTCTTTTTGAAGTGCTCAATTAGGGTGAAAAAAAGTCCATAGCTCTCCCTGGCTTGAAATTGTTGAAAGGTAGGAGTGCTTTCTGGTTAGGCATTGTCCAACCACAGGGATACAAATCAGCCCTTTAAGATAATTTATATCTTGGAGAGGAGTTCGGAAATGGGTCCGCTTGGAGCTAAAAGCGTCGTAAATAAGCTGGGCTGGGAGGCTGTGCCGGCCACACTGGGGAGTTACAGAGTGGTCTCCCAGCTGCTGCCCACCAGAGGAACAGGGACTGGCCTGCTTCCCCCTGAGCCACGCAGGCTGATAGATGTCAGGACCCATGGCTGGCCAGTCCATATCCATTGTCCTCGTAGGAGACTGGACCTCAGAGTGGGGCAGGACTTCCCACAGTCCTGCAGCAAAAGGCAGTGGCAGAACCAGTCTTGGGGCCTCGCCTCCTGGCTGACCCAGGTGCTAAATGATCCCTCACTAGGCACTGGGACTGTCAGCTCCCTGAGGACCAGGAGTTGAGTTAAGGGGGGTCAGACCAGCACCAGGACCCAAAGACAGTCTAGTAAGTACAAACTATCAGTGTCATAATGAAAACGAACACACAAGAAAGCATTTGTGTGTGTGTATGTGTGTGCAGGTACAGAGATGTATACCTGTGGATACCTCTATATACATGCCTGTGCTCGTGCGTCCATGTGGATGTGTTGCAGCACATATGTGTGTGTTGTTTATGTGTGTATCTTTTATATGCCCATGGATATGTATGTGTATTTACACTCATGCATGTATATGTGTGTGTGCTTGCATATGTGTGTCTGGGATTGGATTGGGGGCACCTTATTCAGTCTGGAGGAGTCAGAGAATTTAATTCAGGAGGCCCAGCGCGGTGGCCCAGGCCAGGCGCGGTGGCTCACGCCTGTAATCCCAACAGTTTGGGAGGCTGAGGTGGGCGGATCACCTGAGGTCAGGAGTTCGAGACCAGCCTGGCCAACATGGTGAAACCCCTTATCTACTAAAAATACCAAAAATTAGCTGGGCATGGTGGTGGGCGCCTGTAATCCCAACTACTTGGGAGGGTGAGGTGGGGGAATCATCCAAACTGAAAGGCGGAGGTCGCTGTGAGCCGAGATGCACTCCAGCCTGGATGATGGAACAGGACTCCATCTCAAAAAAAAAAAAAAAAGAATTTAATCCATGGGCTGAGGGTAAAGTCTTGGGCAAGGCTGGAAAAACGTGGATAGCGAGTTTGGCTGGATCAGGTGTAGACTGGTTATGGAGTCTGTATCTTACCTTGTAGGGCCTTGAAGGCTCCTGAGAAGGGGGTGACTTGACCAAAGCTGCATCTTAGATACTATAAATGCCTGCATATAAGATGAAATTATTTTCCTCCATATTTTCCCTCAGGAAAGAGTCCTTCCAAAATTTGTCATGTAACAAACAGGGCATCGCCTAAATTATTTCAAAACGCAATACTGTTTGGAGAAAGTCTTGGTAGCTTGAAACCCCGACAGTCTGTCAGTAAAAATAAAAGGAGACAAATAAATTGAACACAGATGGAGTAGTTAATTATTCCTGAGAGCCTGACCCCATGATCGTTGCATGTTCTTGTAGCAACCCTTTCAAGGGTAATTTTAAGCAAGCGATGAAGAGAATTGTTTATGCTGAGGGCGAGGTCCTGAAGATGGGTTCGAAGGTGCTTGTGGTTTGGGTGTTGAGGAGTCGGATCTGACCTTACGAAAGGTCAAGGATGGCTCTGAATGGACACCGAGGATGAGCCCTGGGGGGACTGGGGCTGCGGCTGGGCCCCGGAGAGGGGGCCCAGGGTCCAGGAAACAGCTAAGCTTGATCTGGGATAAGGGAGGGGCAGAGGGTGAGGCACATCCCGCAGGGTAAAAGGTGTCTCTGAAGTGCCGCATCCATGCAGAGCCAGCTCCGTCTGCCTGCAAATTGAGGTGACAGAGACTTAGTGACTCCTAGTGCTTGCTGTCACTTCCCATTTCGCTGCTCCTCCCAGCTTGGTGGGAACTGGGTGGAGGCTGTCAGAGAGCCTGATGTACACCTGAGCCCTGTCAGCCCTCAGGTGTGAGGAACCAGGAGGGGTGCTGGCGCCGGGCCCCCTGTCCAGGGCTGCGCTAGCTGGGAGCAGGGAGAGGAAGGCGGGCAGGTGCTGAAACTGCCTCTGCACCTGGGGATCCTGAAGGGGAGCAGGTGGCTCCAGCTCTTTGTTCTAAGCTCAGCCTGGGATTCTGAGGGTCAAACTCATACATAAACCAAAAGACCCTGCTCCACGCTCCCCACTACTGTTCGCCATGACAACAGCAGGCCCGGGCAATAGTCACGATGCACCATCCCCCTCTCCTCCATATCAGGGCTTCCACCCACGGGTGAAGAATGCCCAGCGGTCTCAGCATCGAGCTCCAGGAGAAGGCCAAACGCATTGGGGTTTCCTCGCACACCTCCAGCCTCCTGCCCCGACTCGTGCTCCCACCCCGGGAACTTCTCCGCTTCCCCTGAGCATTCTAGGTATGTCTGCTGTTCTAGAACCAGGCAAATCACACCATCCCGTCCTCATCCTTGAATCTTCTCCATCCACTCCATCCACTTCTTTGAAGTGTTCTCCTCTGATGCTTCTCCTATTCTTTGAAAATGCATCCCTTGTTCTTCTGAGTGGCCCACACTGATGAAAGCAGGATGGGCGGAGCCTTTCTGAATGATACAGACACCCTCTGTGTCTCCAGGTCCTCTGCAGGCTCCCAGCCTTTGACCACCTCCTCTGATTCTCCACCCCAGCCGGTGTCCAAATCTCACACCTCCCAGACACGGGAACATAGTCTTGCCTCAACACAGCCCTGGACAGAGATGGAGGGGATGGACAGAGAAGCAAGCTATTGGGCACCATTCATCAAACATGTCCTTACTGAGCCCTGCCCTGTGCAGATGCTGTCTAGGTTCTGGAGAAGCAGCATTCATCAACCCTGGCATGGCTCCGTGCCTTCTAACACGTCCAGTGTTAGAAGCAGACGTTAACCCAATAAGTACCCACATGAAAATATAACTGCAAATTAGGACAAAATCTCTGAAGGAAAAGAAATAAGTAAAATCATGCCTGGAAGGTGTGAGTCACAAGGCAAAGACCCAGCAGGCCTTCTTTTCTCTAACTTCATGATCTGCATTTTTCTGATGAGGAAACTGAGGCTCTGAGGGGTGAGAAGACTTGGGGAACATGTGATAATGTGATGCACAAGTACCAGAGTCAGCCTGGTCTGCGGAGAGTCTTGATCTTCTGCATTTCTGGTGTGTGTGTGTGTGTGTGTGTGTGTGTGTGTGTGTGTGTATGTGTTTCTGAGACAGAGTTTTACTCTTCTTGCCCAGGCTGGAGTGCAGTGGCATGATCTCGGCTCACCGCAAACTCTGCCTCCCGGGTTCAAGCAATTCTCCTGCCTCAGCCTCCTGAGTAGCTGGGAGTACAGGCATGCACCACCACGCCCAGCTAATTTTTTGTATTTTTAGTAGAGATGGGGTTTCACCATGTTGGCCAGGCTGGTCTTGAACTCCTGACCTCAGGTGATCTGCCCGTCTTGGCCTCCCAAAGTTCTGGGATTACAGGAATTCTGTTTCTTCTCGACACCTTATCCCTCGGTTCCCGCTGGGGAGAACACATGAGTGGAAACAGGACGAAATAGGCAAAACCCAGAGGAGCTCTTTATTTATTCAAGTTACGTTGCCCTCCCTTCCTATTCATGTCTTGTGATAGAATGGTTTTCTCCTGACAGCGAGTTCACAGACCTAGGGGATCTGGCACTGGGGTGGATGCAGGGTTGGGTCTGGGAATTTTTTTCTCTCCCTCTTCTTCTCCCTAGAGGATCCCTTGATCCAGCTCAAGGACCTCAAAGAGAATAGCAGCTCCTCCTCCTCCCTCCGTCATCCCCTGGGCTCACGGGATTGACATTGGCCATGCCCTGTGTGAGTAGTGACTCAGCAGTGCCCTTTCCATGGAATTTCCTTCATCATCTGAGAGCTGGAGAACAAGCATGTGTGTGCCGGCCATGAGATGACTGTACAGGGGAAGGAGGCCAAGGCTTCCCCGAGAGGAGCTGCAGCTGGCCTGGTGTGCTCCATGGGTGGGGTGGTGGGGAATGGACAGGTGGGTGGATGTGGGTGACTCGTTAGAGCCCATGGGGATGGGGTCCTTCAAAACCAAGTAGACCTGAGCTCCAACCAACTTTCCCTTTCTAGCTGTATGATCTTGACTGAAGTCACTTAAACTCCTGAGCCCCAGTTTTCTCATCTGCAAAATGAGGCTAAAACAGGACACATTGAACAAGGTTGTGAGGAAGATTATATAAAATGGCATGCAAAATGCTTAGCATAAGGTGCATCAATCCTACTGTCCTCAGCTGGGGGCAGATGACCTGGACAGGTGATGGGGGGGAGGTTTCCACATGGAGGGGCTTCAAGGAGGAGCACGGGGAGAGGAGGGAGAGATTGAGGTGGAAGTGGCTGGACAGAGGAGGTGACTGATGGAGAAAATTTGTTCGAAAAGACTCAAACAGTGTAAGCATGAGTTTCCAAGTGTTCCGCTCACTTGATCGGCAGACATCCATCAGGAATTCGTTGATCCCATGCTGGTTATGGTGGGCTCATAGTTTGGAGGGAGTAAACCACATAAAAACACCTAGGTGAGGCTAGGCGTGGTGGCTCACGCCTGGAACCCCAGCACTTTGGGAAGCCGAGGCGGGTGGATCACGAGGTCAGGAGATCGAGACCATCCTGGCTAACACAGTGAAACCCCGTCTCTACTAAAAATACAAAAAATTAGCCGGGCGTGGTGGCAGGCGCCTGTAGTCCCAGCTACTCGGGAGGCTGAGGCAGGAGAATGGCATGAACCCGGGGGGTGGAGCTTGCAGTGAGCCGAGATCCCACCACTGCACTCCAGCCTGGGCGACAGAGGGAGACTCTGTCTCAAAAAACAAACAAACAAACAAACAAAAAAACAAACCACAAACAAAACAAACAAACAAACAAAAAACCCAAACAAACAGACAAACAAAAAAAAAGCCACCTAAGTGAGCAGGATTGTTTTCACCAGTACAAATAGACTTTATTTTTCTGACATATGTTCAGAGATAAAGGGTCCTCCATTGGCAGAGAAGCTCAGGTGTGTCACCAAGGGCCTGGGATACTGTTTTATTTGTGCTTTTTCCCCTTAGAGGGTTGGCTTGTCACCTCATGGTCCCGAGATGACACAGAAAAGAGCCAGCAGTACAGCTAGTTTTATGTGCTCCAACAGAAAGCCCTAAAAAGGAGAGGTCGAGGAAAGGGATTAGAAAGAACTAAAAGCGTTTCACTTTCTTAAAAATATTTCCAAACAAAGAATTAATTTGCCCTGGAAAGGATGCTTACAAAGCATTTATTGCACCCATTGACATCAGTGTGTTGTTCTCTCTTGAGCTGAAATACGGCAGGGGGCGGCTGGCTGTTTAAGTGGACAAATCTGCCCATATGGGGTCAAAGAGCAGAGCTGGAAGTAGAGGCTGGGGAGAAACCACTCTGCTTCTCCAGTGACCCTTTCCTGTGCCACTGGGATGAAGAGGGGCACAGGGAATGAGGGAGCGGCCCCTCACCCAGACCAGGTATGCCTTCGGGAATCTGTCAGCCGTGCGTTCGGAACTTGACATCATGTTTTCTCCAGAATTTCATTTCAGCCACCAGCCATCTGCTAGCCCCAGTTCTGTTAGAATTTCTTCCACAGCAGCATCCCCTCCTCCCTGCCTTTCCTTAGGACACCAACCAGCTCTCTCTCACTGGAGGTTGGCCAATAGGCCCTATGCCCCAAGAGGTGGCAGCAGTAGTCACATGGTGCCACCAGCTTCAAAATCTCCTTTAGTTTGTGATGTCTGGTTGTTTGAAATGAGCCCACTGGACACTCCACGTGGTTAGTACGTCTCAAGACTATTAAGGTCACAAAAAGCAAGGCAGGACTGAGAAACCATCACGGACCAGAAGAGAGTGGGGAGACATGACATCGCAACGCGGTGTGGTACCCTGGATTGGATCCTAGAGCAGAACGAGGCCATCAGTGAAAAAACCAGTGGAACTTAAGTAAAGTCTGGAGTTTAGTTAATAGCTATGTGTCAATGTCAACCCATGTCTTTGTTTTGACAAAAGTACTACAGTAGGCTGGGCACGGTAGATCATGCCTGCAATCCCAGCACTTTGGGAGGCCGAGGTGGGCAGATCACTTGAGGCCAGGAGTTCAAGACCAGCCTGGCCAACGTGGTGAAACCTCGTTTCTGCTAAAAAGTCGAAACTTAGCTGAGCGTGGTGGTACAAGCCTGTAGTCCCAGCTATTTGGGAGGCTGAGGTACAAGAATCGCTTGAACTTGGGAGGTGGAGGTTGCAGTGAGCCGAGATCACACCACTGCACTCCAGCCTGGGTGATAGAGCAAGACTCTGTTTCCGAAAAAGTACAATTGTAATAAAAGAGGTTAACAACGGGGAAAACCAGTGAAGGGTACATGAGCCATCTCGGTTCTCTTTGCAACATGTCTGTAAATGTAAAATTCTTCCAAAATGAAAAGTTTATTAAAGTGGACCCACCTCCTCTCTTATCAATGCTATCAGCTTGAGGTGTCCAGTAGCTTAATGTAGAAGATGACTTGCAAGTTCAAGACCTTTGATGAGTGACTTATCGGAAAATTCATAAAAATGGGGTAAAGTCGAGGTGCTTTCTCTCCTAAGCACCTGTGTCTACTGGCTGGTGCACCCCAGGTAGGCAGGAGGAGCAAAGCAGGGACCACTTTTGCCATCCTCTTGCACCAGGGCTTTCTTGCTGCCCCAGTACCCGTGCACCTTCCAGTGGATGGCTGATCCCACAGGCTCTGCCTCTAACCCCACCAACTTCTGCAATCTGTGGTCCCTCAATGCTTTCTGTCCCTCAGACTTGCCCAGCTGCTGCCCCTGTGCCAGTAGAGGGGGTGATGTGGGGTCAGGACGTTATAAACCCAAATCTAACCACCCTTATTCCAGCACCTGCTATATCACACCCCACACCAGAACTGGTTAGAGCTGGAAGAATCATCATAGCTATCATTTCTTGAATATAAACCCTATGCCAGAAACTCTTCACTAGAAATAAAATACTTTCCCCATTTTGCAGATTAAAAAACTACATCTGGGAAAATGATGTCATTTTCCCAAACTAAAAAAGCACGACTGGCCCCAAATCACTCTCGTCTTATTCCCCTGCCTTCCTTAAAGAAAGGCTCTTCAGGAGCAACTAGAAAACCTGCCCATTTTACAGAAGGGCAAAACAGGACTCAGAGAGGTAAGGTTTGCATAAGACCACATAGCCTATTCACCTCTAGCCAGAAAAGGAACTCAGGCTTCCTCACTGTGCTCTCTTTGCCACCTGTGAATTACTGAAGCTTTCTGGGTACCAATGGCCCATGCCTAGGAAGTCTAGTTGCCTCTAGACCAGACCAGTGATCCGGGAGGCTCCTCCCTTCCCAGTCAGGTACAGATTACCTATTCCACTTCTCCCTGCCGCCCTCCCACCCCTGACACCCCTGTGTCTGCAGGCACAGCTCAGCAGGGGGTACAATTACCATCTGTGTCACTGGCATCTTTACAGAGGCATATTTAAGTCGCTGCAGCACTCACAGGAGAAAGCAAGTAAATACACAGCCCAGCAAAGTGCCGAACCCAGCCTCAGATCTGCCTGCATGGAGCAGGCATCGAATACTTCTCAGCACTATGCGGGGAAAAAGCAAAGCAAAGAAAGAAGAAACTGCATCTCCACTTTGGAGATGTTGCCAAAGTTTCTCTCCATCTCTGAATGATGCTTTTTCAGATGAGGCAGTGTCCAGAGGAGCAAAAGGCAACCTTCACAGGTGAGACAGTCAAGCCCGTGTCACCTTGTGGGCCAACATCTTGGTGGAGCATACAGCCAAGCTGCATGGGTAAAGGAGATTACTGAGGTGCCTCTGGGTGTCGATGGAGCACCTGCTTCCTCATCCCACCACGGTCCCTGGCAGGGGCACGCGGTGCAGTGAGCCATCCGCACTCATCCTCTGGGTCTCCCTGGTGGCCAGTAGAATCCAATGGACTGGATACAGGGATCAGTCTGTGACCAGAGCAAGGGGAAGCAGCCTCTTGAATTCTTGGGAAGAAACATGACGACTGTGGGAAGCCTTCTTGGGTTTATTAAAAATATGTCATGCTAGGCACATCATGTTTTTAAAAACACAATTATTTATTTAATAAATATTTAGTAAGTATGCCTATGTACCAAGAATTCAACTTGGCACCAAGGATAAAGTTCTGAATGTGATAGTAAGTTCCCGGGCCATATTAGAGCTTAAATTCTAGCAGTGGGGGCTGTGAGGGTTGGGAAGGAGACAACAGATCATAAACCAACAAACACACAAAGAGATGATAGGGCAATGTTCCATGAAGACTGGAAACTGGACAGTGAGGTGGATGCTTTAGCCAGAATGACAGGGCAGGCTCTGGGGCGGTGGCATGTGGAGGAAGAGAACGTATCACAAGCTTGGTGGCTCAGTAGAACATTGCACATGTGGCATTTCTGGATTTTAGCAAAGCTTTGGGGAAAACCCCTTCTTGTAATATTTACTAAAATGTGTTATGTGCGTATTCCATGGCAAATGTTGTTTTGCTTCACACTCAACAGACATTTTATTTGGTCCTTACAAGCACTCCCATAAAGGAGGCATTTTCTCTGATTTGCAGATGACAGTGTTGAGGCCCAGAGAGATTGTGACTTGGTCAAGGCGAGAGAGATATGAGCCCCACGCCCGGCCCTCACCCCCACGTGGGCTTGTCACCCCCATGCCTATGACTAGTCAGGCTGCCTTTGTCAACATGACATAGAAGTGTAGGATGGCTGATGACTCATAACTGGTTGAATGACCATTTCCACGGCTGATGATGACTAGATGACCACCGTGAAGGGAGCTCATCATAGTGGTGGCTCAAGCGTGGTCCACAGCCCTGCCTTGTCCACTGGTGCCAGTGGCCTGAATGGGGGTTCAGTGGCTAGTCGGGGTTCAGTGGCCAGTCACAGTTCAGCCTCCTCTCCAACCACCTCTGACCTTGCACCAGCTAGTGCAAAGTCACTGGCAGTTTCTGTGACAGCCTGTGTGTTTCACACTTCCCTGCCTTTGCAAAGGATGCCCCCCACCCTTGTCTGGAATGGCCCCTGCACCTGGTGACCCAGATGATGCCCACTTCTCCTCTAAAAGCCAGCTTACATGTCACCTCCTCCAGGAAGCCTTCCCTGAATTCCTCCACACTGAGGTTGCGAGTCATTTAGGTTCCAATGCTCGCTCTATCTATCTCTCTATCTATCTCTCTATCTATCTATCTATCTATCTATCATCACAGCTAGTTGCCATCCCAGCAGCCATCTACTAACATAGAAACAATTTTGATCAAGTGGGGATGCGCTCTGAGATGACTGGCCTATCCCCAGAGGATGAATTATAATTAGCCAAACCCATTCCTCCTTGGCCAGGTATTGGCTGAGGGGTACTCACAGGGTTCACTTCTGGCCAATGGGCCTTGCCAGAAGGAGGATCTGGCAAAAGTTTCCTTATCCAGTGAAAAAAGAAACTTGTGGGAAGAAGTGTCCCTTTCTTTCTTGCCTTAGGGTATTGTCATTTGGGGAAGTCACGAACAGCGCTTCAGTTGTCATTTTGCAGTCATGAGGGGGCGGTCCAGGGAGCACAGAGAGGCCACCACAGATTCTGACATCATTGAGTGACTGAATCACCCAACCTTGGAACTGCCTACCTCCAGGCGTCTTGCTGTCTGAGATCATAAACCCTTTGCTTGACACCACTTTTACTTTGCTATTTGTTACTTGAGGCTGCAGGCATCCTGACTGATACAGCAGAGCTCTCTCTTTGTGGTATGTTTTCACTTTGGTCTGTTTTCTCGTCCAGTTCTTCACACTGGAAACTCCTGCAGGGGACCGGTTCTTTTTTATCAAAGACTCTCCAGTGTTCAACACAAAATCTAACACACAATGGGTGCCTTGCTTAGTAAATACATGAAAAGATGGGTGGCTGGAAGGAAGGAAGAATAAGCTATCAGATGACGTGAAGTAAGGAGGTGATGTAAATACCTAGGATCCAATAGTTGAGGTCTGCAAAGAGAGGAGCGGATGACTCAAGAGCGAAACACAGAGAGATGGGATTGATGTGACATCAGACCTGTCTGATTCTTAGTCCCAGACTCCTGGGGGGTGGGGGGATACATTTCTCAGCAGTAAATGGACATATGATGGCAGCATTGTGGGACCAATTGCTTTTGGGACAGGGATGGTATACAAGTTACTATGAAACAGTCCCAACTATGTGGAGAGAAGAGCTGAGGGACAAGGAGTTGGACTGTGATTAGGAGTGACTCTGTTATCAGTCCTCCCTATCACTTCTTACTGGTCACCATCACTAGAAAGAAGGGCTTTGTCCTGACACTGAAATACTCCTGGCCGTGTTGACTCCCAAGCCCTTCTCAATTACTTCCTGGGTTCTTTCATGCGCCTCCTTCCTCAACCTCCCTCCCTAGAGTCAGTAGTTGACTCTAGCTTCTACCCACACAGGGGCTGTATGGTGTTCCCCTGGTGGGGTGCTTTGCAGGGCAGGTGCAGCGTGACATCGAGCACAGATGGCATGGATACCCAGCAGCCTTTTGCTTTTTCTTCTTGAGTCACCTCCTTCCCTGGTGGCAGCCACATCAACTCTTCTGCTTGATTATTCTGTACCAAGTGTCTGCTGCTGCAGATGGACACTTCTGAATAGCAGCTGCCGGGAAATGTCTGGCTTCCCAGAGGAGCTGGGCTTGAATTCCCCTGGGCTCAACTGGCTGTGAGCCTTTTGTGATCACCCACCTGAAAGCCTCATCTGTCAAATGGGCACATGAAGGCATCTATAGACTTATCAGTTTTAAGTGGGACAATGGGTACGAGAGGGCCAGGGCTGGCTTCATGGGTATGAGATCTGTGAAAGGCTCTGAATTCTGTGCTCAGAAGGGACCCGTACTGGTTTAATATCCTCCTTTTATCTCTCGAAATTCTTGATAGTGTTTTAAAAGGGGGCTCCATTTTTATTTTAGGCCCTTCAAATTATGTAGCTGGTCATGGAGAGGGCTTTGCAAACCAAACAGCATTGCGAGACTGCACAGTGGGTTGCTGTTATAAATCGTAACGACACACACATTCACATTCTGTAAAGGATATATATGTGAAGGGGGCTTTTCTGCAAGGTTGGGACTCTGAGGCAGCACAGAATTCGTCTCTCACTTACTGTATCCTCTTCCTGGGCTTAAGGATATTAAATCCAGGTGCCCCAAGACCTTCAGAGCATTCTGCCTTCATGCGGATGGTGCAGACTCTGTTCTAATTCTGCACTTGGCCAGACATAGCTATGCAAACTGCAGCGAGTCTCTTCCCGCTCTGGGCGCCACCTGACTGACCCGCGTAAGGAGGGACTGTGACTGGTCCCCAGGCAAACGCTTTCCCTGCCACCTGCACCTGTTGCAAGCCAGCTCCTCGGAGCCAGGCCAAGCAGCTCTGCCCCTAGCGGGAGTCGGAGGCATGAAACTCCCTTTTAGGAAGACGGAGTAAGAGGCACCACCACCTGCTCCTGCTGCCTCTGCTGTCCTCAGCTTCTGGGAGCATCTTAGCAGCCAGCTCCGGGTGAGGACAGGGTCCACCGGTGCACATGGCAGAGCAGGGCAGATGCTGTGACTTGGCGGCTTTGGGGGAACAGGGTGGGGCTCCTCCCTGGGAAAAATCTTTAGGTTTGGATCCAGCCTTTATTTAAAGAGGGGGATTGTGTATAGACTTGTGTGACTGTTCAGCCTCTTTCCACCTCGGTGCGTGTGTGTGTGTGTGTGTGTGTGTGTGTGTGTGTGTGTGAGAGAGAGAGAGAGAGAGAGAGCCTGTGGGTCAATGCCCAGTATGCCCCTCTGAGAGTGTGTCTGTTAGTAGACACCAGTGTGTGACATTGCTTCTGTGGGCAACTATGTCAAGGCGTGGGTTTGTCACTGTGTGCGGTGTGGAGCAGTATGATAAGCCGGCGGCCGACCCCCGAGTGTGTAGACGCGGGAGCTGGTGTCAGGGTATTTGTAGGGCTGCAATTCTGTGTAGGTCTGTCTCAGATTGTGTGAGAGTGTCTGTGTTCCAGCAGGTGCTTGTTTCTGAGTGTGAATGTGTGTGAAGCTGTGACCGTCTGTCTCTAGCTCTGCATGGGACGGTGATCCGGTGTGTGTGTGTGTGTGTGTGTGTGTGCGTGCGTGTGTGGTGTGTGTGTGTATTAGAGTGCACTCTAAACTGTGTGGCTGTGTGTGTACGTGTGCGTGCCTGTCACAGTGGCCCAGTCTGCTTCTGGGTGAGTGGGGCAGAGCCCAGAGAGTGTGTGTGTGAGTGTGGGTGTCGGTGTCTCTGGGAAGCAGTGATTCGGGATGTGTGTGTCAGGCAGTGTGCGGCTGTCGCTGTGAGTCTGCATGGGAGAGTGGCGGCGTGCTCTCCTCTGCGCGGCAGTGCCCCGTGTGTTTGTGGGTCTGTGTCTGGGTGTGAGCGTCATGGTGCGTGTGTTAGAGCCCGTGGGGCCCCGGTGAAAGGCTGTGGCTCTGGGTGACTGGTGTGTGTGTGTGTGTGTGTGTGTATCAGAGTGGGTGGCGGCGTCTCTGCTCGGCAGTGGCGCGTGTGGCCCGCCCCGCGCGCGTGTTCTCGCGGGCCGGGGCAGGGCGTGGGCCCCCTCCGGCGGAGCCGCGACCCCTCCCCCGGGCGGCGGGAGGTGCGCACCGGCGCCTCTAGGACCCGGCGGCGGCCGGCCGCTGTCCCCGGGCCGCGCGAGTGAGCATGTGCAGAGCCCGGCGCCCGCTCGCCCGCCCGCTGCCCGCCCCGGCTCCGCGCCCGCCCGCCCGCCCCGCCGTTCAGCCCGGACGCCAGCAGCCCCGGGGAGCCAGGCGGCGGCGCCCTGTGCCCGGGCGCGTGGGTCCGCTTGCCGCGGGCGGCCGGAGACGTGCGGGCGCCGGGGCTTCTGGGCTCCGGGCACTGCGGGGGGCTGCGGGCTCGGCGCCCGGGGAAGGCGGGCCATGGGCGCGGGTGCGGGCGCCCCAGCCGGCCGCGATCGCGGGGTGAGTCCTGTCTCTCGGCGCTCCAGCCGGACCCCCGCGCGGGCTGCGAGCAGGGTGTTCCCCTTGCCGCGGGCAAACAAGTTTGTGCAGACGCGGTTGGGAGCGCGGCGGGGCTGCACCTGCTCCGGCTGCAGGGCGGGCTTGCCGGGGGCACCTTCCCGGGGGCCCGGGGCGGCTCGGCCGGGGCAGGGGAGAGTGAGCGGGTGCGTGCAGGGGTTGTGGGGGGGCGGGGGCGGCGCTCGGCGCGGCCGGGATGGGGTGGGGGTGCGCGAGGCGCCGCACGAGCCGCGTCCCCCTCCGGAGTCCTGAGAGCCCGTCCGTCACCCGGGAGGGCGCTGCGGTTGGTCCCGGGGAGGGGGCGAGGGCAGGGTGTGGGGTGCGCACAGCTTCCCTCCTAGGCGGCGACGTTTACCCAGAAGCAGCTCCCTCTCGTTCCGCTACCAAGAGAGGCTTCCGGTCAGCGGAGGGTTTGCTCCGTCTCTTGGTGAACTTGAACAGAGGCAGAGGCAAAAGCAAAACGTATGTATTTTGTCCAGAAAATTACCTAGTGTAGAGCTTTGCGTCTTCGTAGGTGTGGACGGAGACTCACGACTGAAGGTTGCTAAATTGCGTTTTTCTTGGCTACTCAGGAGCGTACGTACCTGGCTGGGTCCCCTGCCTCCGGGTAACCTCGCTGGTGGTTTTCCTGAGCATTTGTGCGCCTGGGATGATGCCTGCTCTGCTGATCGGGAATGCGGGTGGGGAAGGGGACCGCTCTTCCTTCCGCTGAGCAGTGGGAAGGCTCATATAGGAGTTCTAGCCTCATAGCCCTGCACTGGGATCCAGCTGCTCCCCACACTGGCCCTGCCCCTGCAGCTCCCAAGATGGACAGATGCAGGACTCCGCTGTACTTTTCTAACATGAGATACCCGCATCCCTCTTGTTGCTGGAACAGCATGCTTAGGTTTATGGAGGCACTTGGTTTATCCCACTTTGGCATCAGGAGTGGGGGCCTTTCTTTTTTCCTCTGATTTGCCTAGGTTGTCAGGCACAGAAAGTGAGGGTGGTGGGGAGTGAAAGTTACAGGAGATATAAAGCTGGCTTGCCCTGCGCTGTTTGCAATCACCCACTCCTGGTGGCTGCAGGTGCTGGGGAGAGAGCTAGGGGAGGTTTCCTTGGGCTATGGGAGAATGAGGTTTGTCTCTCTCAATCATGCCCCCACCCCCACACACTTAGATTGGCCCTCAGGAGATCCTCCGGGAAGGGGCCTCAACCGGCTGCCAGAGCTCAGGGTTTCTAGGAGGAAGAGCAGGAGCTCTCCCAGGCATGGGATCTGAAGGAGGCTTGGCGGTGGTTGGGCTGGTGGCTGAGCCTGACTGCCTCATCTTCTCCGCCAGAAGGCTCTCACCTGTGGCTGCATCCTCCAGGCCTCAGCAGGGCCATTTCCACAGCTC
Source organism: Homo sapiens (assembly GCF_000001405.40). NCBI lineage: Eukaryota > Metazoa > Chordata > Mammalia > Primates > Hominidae > Homo > Homo sapiens. The sequence continues at coordinate 6,072,086 of NC_000017.11, forward strand.
CTCTGTAAAAATGCCTTCTTCTGGGGTGAGGGGATCCCTCTCTTCAGTGGGCATTGTGCCCTATGGGGTACTGCCCTGTGGCCTGTGGCATGTCTGGTTGGAAGTGAAGAGAAGCTGGGATAAGGCAGAAGGCCAGACTCCTGTCTCTTCCTCCTGTCTTCCTAACCGAGCAGAAGTGGATATTCAGTGCCACTAGTGGGTCTGCTGCTGAAGCTTGAGCCTCCAACCTGATCAGTTTGGCCAGAGCACTGGGGAATGAGTCACAGAGCTGGTTCCTTATGGCATCAGCCTGAGCAGGCGACTCAGAGCCTCTGAATCCAGAGCCTCCAGGCCCTGATGGAACCCCTCCGAGCAGGGCCTCTAGGGAAGTGGTGTTTCTCATTATAGAAGCTCCAAGCTTGTACTCCCATCCAGCTCAGACCCCCATCAGCCTTGGTGAGACCAGCTCCCTGACTCTTTCTCTGGAGGTACAATGAGGTCAAGGCCAAGGACTTTGGGGCAGCTCAGTGTTTAGACCTTCAGGGCCTTAGGCCTTAAAATGCAGGTGATAATCATATACACTAGCAGGGCCAGAGCTGGGCCCTAACATCCAGGGCTGCTCATCTGGGGAATGAGGGAATGAATGTGGCTTTCCGCTCACCACCTTCTCCCTGGGCCTCCTGGTCTGGCCTTCACATTCTTCCTTTAATCTCTCCTCATCATGGCTTTGACAATCGTGCTGACATACGGCCTGAAAAATTATCGGAAGTGTGCCACTTGGAGAATGTGGTCAGGGAGGAACTCTGCATATGCCCTGCCTCCTGGTGTGGATGTGAGAAGTGGATGGAAGAATGGGCTGGATTCATTTCATCAGCTATGAAATACAGTGCACCTGCTGGTAGCTGTTAAGGCCCCTCCCCTTCACTTCGCTTCCCTTCCTTTGCTGCCGGAAGCCCCTGGAGATGTGAGCTCCCTTCTAGAGAGTGGCTCCCTTGACATGAGGGGGTCGAGAGTATTCTGAGGACAAGGATGTGCAGCAGGCTGTCTTGGCCTCTCTCCCATAGCCCGAGTGCCCAGTGGCAGCATCAAGTTGGGCAGGTCTGACTTTGGTTGGGCACTCCACTCACTTGTCCACCTGTATCCAACTCACTCCGTGGGGTTTCAACACCTGTTTACCTTCCAGATTCTGGGATGGGCTTGAGACGACCCTTAAGCTTTCAGCACCAGGTGGAAGAAACACATGAATAAGTAAACAAAATAAGATTCTATAAAAGAGATAGCCCAGGCCAGGCGTGGTGGCTCACACCTGTAATTCTGGTGTTTTGGAAGCCAAGGTGGGCAGATCACCTGAGTCCAGGAGTTTGAGACCAGCCTGGCAAACATGGCAAAACCCCATCTCTACTAAAAATACAAAAATTAGCTGGGCATGGTGGTGTGTGCCTGTAATCCCAGCTACTAGGGAGGCTGAGGCAGGAAAATCGCTTGAACCCAGGAGGCGGAGGTTGCGGTGAGCCAAGATCATGCCACTACATTCTAGCTTGGGCGACAGAGCGAGACTCCTTCTTGAAAAATAAATAAAAATAAAAGAGATAACCCAGAGATAGGCTGGAAAAGGTTGCGACTGGCTGTTTCAAAAGTGAGAAAGGCTCCAAATCAGGCACCAGGAAAGGAAAAATGCCGGCCCCGGCGCTGGTGCTGTGTCTTTCTGTGTGGACCCAGCCTCCAGCATGGTGCTTGGAAGGATCTCTGTCCTTGGTATTGCACACATGAAGACCATGTGATATGGCTGGTGATGATATGCTCTGGAATCAGAGCGACTTAGCAATAGCCGTTTGTATTTGTTCAAGTTAATTGGCCTTCTCTGTCTCAGATTCTGCATCTGTATGATGGGGACGATAATGATTTTGGCCTCACAGATTTGTGGGAAGATCACTCATTCATTTGTTCATCTGATCATTCATCCAATGCACTTGACAGTTGGTGAAAGTACCTGGAACTCTAATATGGTATGTTAAATTTTTTATTTATATGAACCCCAACAGTGGGTTAATTGAAGAGGTTTCCCTCCTTTGTGTGGAATGGAGTTTTGACCTATTATGTTTTATACCCTTTTAGCAACATATTAAAATTTTGAATCTTTTTTCAAGCTCTGAAGTTCAAACTCTCAAGAGATTTGCCTCATCAAAGACAGGGATCCCACCCCATTTGCATTTCCCAGACCTTGTTCCCCCAAAGGGCCCAACAGATTTTTGTTTAGTGGGTCTCTTGCTTTTTCTCAGTCTCCAAGACCCAGAGTTGTTAGGCCTGTCAGTAATGGCAGCATGGCCCTGAGCATCGAAGGATGTCCAGTCCAGCAGGCACTTATTTTCAGGGGCATTCCCTGTGCCCCACCCAGAGGTGGGCAGAGGCACTGACTGTGCCTTTGACAGGCCTACAGGCTGGAAGGAGAGGTAGGGACATTAGCAGGGAACCCTGACTCAAGACCACACACTACCCAGGCACAGTTTGTAGCAGCAGCCTTGCTGCTTAGTGCCTAGCACTGAGGAGTGGTTCTGCTCCAGAGATCAGGGAGGCTTCATGGAAGAGGAGGCATGGGAGCTGAACCTTGATGGCCTGAAGCATTTCAGAGCCGTGAGATGGGGCACAAGCATCCCTGGCTGGTGGAAGGGCATGCGTGAGGGTGCTTGACGCCTCTCTCGCTAACCAGGTGATGCTCTGGTGGGATACAGGGCTTGCTTGTCAATCCCTGGGAAGCCATTACAGGCTGTGGCATCATTAGCTCCTCATATTAGAAAGATCACTTTCTTAGATGGAAAGGGGACAGTCTTTTGGAGAGGGGATGGGGTACAGAAGCCAGGCGCTATGCCTGAGCGGGGTAGGGGCAGGGGCAAGGGGAAAGTCACAGGAGGGGAATCCAGGAGCTGTGAGCCCAGCTGGAGGCTCCTGCATGTACTCTGCCCGGGTCCTGAAGCTGAGACCCCCTGGCTGCCAGTCACTGAGGCTGAGGCTTCGAGCTTCTAGGACCCAGATGCCCATCACCTTGTCTAGAGAGCAACGTTCTGGGCCCTATTCTTGTCGCTGGGGCTCCTGCCCTGCAAAGAGCAGGCAGCTCCAAGTCCCAAGAGGTTTGCAGCCCTTGCTGCAGCTGCCACAGTAGCTGAGATCCTTCTGGGGATGTCTGGTGTCATTTTCCCTTCAGCTGCCTCTGCCTGTTCTCTCTGACCGGGGGTCACGGGGAGGTTGAGTCATCTGACTGAACCCCAGTGGCCACTGGCTGCACCTGGGCCAGCTCCGAGTTCTATCTTGCAGCCCCCAGCCCCAGGGACTGCCTCCTCTCCTCTCCCTGCTGCCACCCCTCAGTCTCTGGACCCCTAGCCTGGCTGAGAAGTGGCCACCTGACCAGCCCAAGCCACCCATCATTCAGGCTGGGCAGTTGCTGCTCCCTCGGTCCCAGATGGCAACAAAGTAATAGACAAAAGCTCAGGTTGTCTGAATATCCAGGTGCTCTGGGCTCCTGCTCCCTCCCTGAGACTTCCAGAAGCCCATTTGTTCTGTTACTCTCTTCTCATGCTTGACAGGGAACTCAGAATCTCCCTCCCCAGGCCCTGCTCTTCTGTAGGGTGACCCCAGGACAGGGCAGTGGGTGTGCACCTTTGTCCAGCCCTGGCGTGCCCCCTCTACCCCCAATAAGGCCAAGCCCCAGGCAGGGATAGAACCCCTCTAGCCTCCCCCTGAAGCACTCTGCAGGGTTCCAAGATGGGAGGTGCCCACAGGAAGCACACCTTGGGGAAAAATTCTCCAGACTTTCAGAGGGGAGGGGCCCCAGGCTGCCTCCCAGTCCCAGTGGGCTGGGGCGGGAACACTCACGGACAAGGCACTGTCTGGAAGGCTTGGCTGGGGAGACACCATGTGTGGCATCATCTCTAGGAGCTTTGGCCCGGCATGACTTCAAAAAGGTGCTGACAGAGGCGCACTAAACTCCTCTCAAGAATAAATCTTGCCTCGTGTGAAACCGGAGCTGGGATGGGGAGAGAAATAGGAAGCTTCGTGGGCATAATGTAGGCCCTGGGAGCAGGTGGCCTGGTCTGAGTGCTGGCCCTGAGCTGTCTGGCTTTAGGCAGTGTGCATCACCTGGCTGAGCTTCAGAGACCTCAGTGCTCAAATGGGGTATGCGGGGCATTTGCTTGGTGGGTTGTCTGGAGGAAATGAGATGGTGCAGGTAAAGTGCACAGCCCAGTTCAACCTATTCACACTGCAAATGCTTCATAAATGGTGGCATTGACAAAGCAATTGCTAACAGCAGTCTCAGCATGGGGATCAGCTGTGAGCAAGAGTGGGATCCTGGGTGCACTCCAGGGACTGTGGGGGCTCAGAGCTGGGGAGAGGCCTCTTGAGTCTGACTTCACCAGTGGCACAGCTACTACAGGCCCGTCCTCCGGCTTTTCCTTGCTTGCCTCTTTTGCATTCATAACCAATCCATGCCACAGTCTGTAGGGAACAGAGTAGCGGAGGTTTCATGTCCACTCCCTAATTCGATCCCATAAAGCATATTTACCCCCATTTAATGGACAATGAGCCTGAGGCCCTGCCCTGTGCAATGCTTTGCTCGAGGTAGGTTTACTGTCATGGACAGCCTGCTGGCTTTCGGATGTAGTGGGTATAGCTGATGGCCTCCCAGGCCCTATGCAGATGAGCAGTGGCTAGCATTCTGCCCCCGACCCCAGGTGTTGGCCGGTTGTGCTGTCTGACTTACCTCGTGGCTTGGCTGTGAGCCCTTGTGTAGATGCTCCAAGTTTCCCAGCCCACCCCCAGGTCTCTTTTGGGTTCATTCACTTAGCAAACATTTACCATCACTGCCCTGCTAGCTGTGTGCTGGGATCTGGGAACATGGAGATAAACGAGGTGTGGTCTGTGCCCTGGAGGGGGGCTGCCAGCCTTGAGGAGAGACAGTGTGATGTGATGTTGGCTATAAAGTGTGGTGGAAGTCCAGGGCAGGGTGACAAGTTCCTGCAAGTTCCTGATGCTTTTTTTTTTTTTTTTTTTGAGACAGAGTCTTGCTCTGTCACCAGGCTGGAGTGCAGTGGTGTGATCTTGGCTCACTGCAACCTCCGCCTCCCAGGTTTAAGCATTTCTCCTGCCTCAGCCTCCTGAGTAGCTGGGATTACAGGTGCATGCCACCACATCCAGCTAATTTTTGTATTTTTAGTAGAGACGGGGTTTCACCATGTTGGCCAGGATGGTCTCCATCTCTTGACCTTGTGATCCACCCGCCTCGGCCTCCCAAGGTGCTGGGATTACAGGCATGAGCCACTATGCCCAGTCTTTTGTTTCTCCCTACCAGTCTACCCGCAATGAGTTTTCCAGGCTAGGAATCTGCTTTGTGATTTTAAAAGTTGGGAGTGCAGCCTGCTTCATAGAAGACCTGGGCCATGGAAATCTGGCCTGCACGTGGCTGTCTGTTGTGTCCACACCAGCACCCACCTCCCCAGACCAGGGAAACCCCTTCTGGGAAGGGGGAGCGCCAGAAAATACTTTGGAGGACCTTGGGACCCTGTGTGAGATGTATTGAATCCTGATTCATCAGCTCTGACCACTCCTCACCCCAGCCCTACTTGTATTGTATATCCAAATCCTATCTAGAAAGTCTATACGGAATTCACCAGTATACTCTGCCTTCAAAATTCCGAATTGTTGAACTCCTGCCTGCCTTTCTGCTCCATCTCATCAGAAAACTTTTCACAGCAGGAGTGCTACCCTCTTCCCTTCAGTTATACAGGATTAATGTGCTCCCTAGTTTGTAACCGGAGCCCCTTTGTGAGCAGACCTGGAGACCCCTCCTCATAGAATTACATCACAGAAAGGATGACATAAAGCTCAGCCCAGGCACTCTTGTTAACTCCATGCGTCTGAAAGCCCTCAGCTCCGTTAAGCTGTGTTCCTGGACCGCCTGGGGGCCTGTGCCTATGCACTGCTCCATCTCTCCCATGTTTCAGGCTTCATCCATGGCTCTGGGTAAGTGGAATTTGAGATTTCACTGCCCTGACTCCATAGGAGCAGGTTTCTGATGTCAGGATTTGCGTATCAATTTATCTGTGGTCTCGTTCATTTTTAAGATGTATTCATAAACAATGATCACTGAGCATCCACACTCCCAGGCCTCATGCTGGGGCTGGGGTTAGGAAAATGAATGAGGCATGGCCTCTACCCCTAAGGAGATTACAGACTTTGGAGGGTAACCGACAAGTAGATGGACAGTTCTGATCAACCCCGGGATGGTGAGTGCTGGGCTGAGGGTCAGCAGGGGCTGTGGAAAGACTGAGGAATCTTCAGGGAAGCTTTCTCTGAGGAACAATATCTGGCCTGAGCCTTAGAGGATACACAGGGATTTGATAAGTGAAGAGGAAGGAAACAGCATAAATAAAGGGTAGCTTGTGCAAAGGCACCGAGGCAGATGTGCTGTGGTTCCGGTTCCCGGTGGCTCTGCTGGAATGTGGAGGGTGTGTGTGTGTGTGTGTGCGTGTGTGTGCGTGCATGCATGCGTGTGCATGTGAGATGGGGAAGCCAAAGGAAGAGACCTGGCAAGAGATGAGGCTGGATGGGCTGGATCATGAAGGGGCCCTTGTGTGTCATGCTAAGGAGCTTAGAGTTTATCCAGTAACCACAGGGGGCTATTGAACGGGGTTTTAAGCAGGGACGCGCCATGATCAGATGTGCATGTTAGGAGGATCACCCTGGCAGCCTTGTGGAAGATGGATTGGAGGGTCCAAAGCTGGAGGCAGAGAGATCAGTCAGGATTTCTTGGGATTTTCTCTGTGGTTTTACAAATCTGATGAGGTTGTCTGGGGTGGGCCTGGCAGACATATCAGCCTAGAAAATAGAAGCTCTGGAGAACCGTCTGCAATTTCCCAGCCCAGAGTTTAATTCCACCTTCATTTGCTGATTACTGAGTCTGCTACCTCCGCCCCAGCCTAAAGGACCAGCCGACCCAGATTTCCAGATCTCTGCTCTCCCCGAGGGCCTCGGAACCTGGCGGCCCTCGCCATTTACTCAGAGAGGGTCATGCCTATCTGGGGTCTTTGTCCGAAGCCTCCAAGCTTTCTGGGGGCCTGGAATGCCAGCCCAAACATTGTCCTTCCTCTCACACCCGCTGTCTGTCCCTGGTGCACAGAGTAGCCATTGAGTGGCTGCACAGGCCTGGCGGGGGGCCCGGACCAAGTTAGTTACGGGCAGTGGCTTAGTCACGCTTCTAGGGGCCTTTTTTTCTGGGATAAGCCTGTCCTTGTGCTAAGGGCTTTGCTCACGCAACAGCCCAGGTCGTGGCAGCTGCAAAACCCTCTCCCAACCCCAACAGCACACTTCAGAGGTGCCGCCAATGAGAACCGAAACCCAGAGTGACAGCTGAGTCCTGGGGAGTGGAGAGACCCATGGAAGGCAGATCAGAGAGCCTTCTGCCTTCTCTTCTCTGGGTGCTCAGCCTCTGTTTGCAGGTGCACGGCTCAGGCGCTACCCTGGTCCTTTGATTCTGGCCTCTGGAGTCCAGGAGGCCTGGGAAGGCTACACAAGCCCCTCCCTCCCCTGGGCCCCATCCTGTGTGAAAGCCAACGACCAGCCTGTGCAGAAGCTCCTTCCAACCCAGGCTCACAGTTCCAGTGCACCCCTGGGAGTCAGCTGATTGCATGCATATATCAAGCATCTGCAACATAGTCCTGCCTGGGCTAGGTACATTTATATGTGGTAGTGTCTCATTGCAGGCTGGGCCATGCAGTCATTGAGAGTCCAGGCTCCGAACACAGACTCTTCAAAACCTTGGCTCTCCTGTTTACCAGCTGTGTGGCTTGGGAAAAACTAGCTAATATGCCTTCTTTTGCCAGTTTCCTCATCTGTGTAACAGGGATATGATATCTCTAGGTTGTTGGATTGGTTTCAGGGTTAAGTGAGATAATATGTAAAGTGTTTAGCTGAGTGCTTGACACACAGGAAGGGCTGAGGAAGAGCCCCTGCTGCTGTTCCTCCTCCCCCTTATTGATATTGCTGTCATCACTGACTCCTCATTATTCCTCAAGGGGAGAGCTGTTGTCCCCATTTTACAGATGGGGAAGCTGAGGCCCAGCAAGGTTAAGCAACCTACCCAGTGTCACACAGCTGGCCAGTAACAAAGCTGGGATTTAAACCTGGCTTTGTCCAGTGCTCCTGCAACACAGCTGGTCCTTGGATAAAGCAAGCACAGGGTGAGGGGTGTCCCAGCCTGGGAGTGCCAGGTAGTGGACCCGCCTATTACATCTCGGTGCTCTTTCTCCACCTTCCAGATTTCTGCGCCAGGAGATGAGGGGCGGTAGAGCCCTGGAATGGAGATGTCCTTGACGCCTGGGCAGAGGCTGCAGCTGCAGGACCCTGTGGCCACTGGAGATAAGTAATGGTGCCATTTGAACACCTACTGGAAACGGGGCAGGAACAGTGAGTGACCCCAGGCGAGCACAGGCAGGTGCCAGGAGCCAGGATGCAAGGATGACGCCTCCGGAGGCCCTGGCCTCACTCCCACCTGGGCGCTAGGAGCCATCCCGGGGCTCCAGCCAGGAGCCCTGCTGCCCAGGGGCATGGCCAAACCTTTCTTCCGACTCCAGAAGTTTCTCCGCCGAACACAGTTCCTGCTGTTCTTCCTCACGGCTGCCTACCTGATGACCGGCAGCCTGCTGCTGCTGCAGCGGGTCCGCGTGGCTCTCCCACAGGGCCCCCGGGCACCCGGCCCCCTGCAGACCTTGCCAGTGGCCGCCGTGGCGCTGGGCGTGGGCTTGCTGGACAGCAGAGCCCTGCACGACCCTCGAGTCAGCCCAGAGCTGCTGCTGGGTGTGGACATGCTGCAGAGCCCCCTGACCCGGCCCCGGCCCGGCCCCCGCTGGCTCCGGAGCCGCAACTCGGAGCTGCGTCAGTTGCGTCGCCGCTGGTTCCACCACTTCATGAGTGACTCCCAGGGACCGCCCGCCCTGGGCCCCGAGGCTGCCAGGCCCGCCATCCACAGCCGAGGTAGGCGCTCAGCTGCATTTGGGGGAGCTGTTCCCAGGACCCCCCATTCAGGGTCACAGGTTTGGTGTCCCCTTTCTCTCTGCAGGCCTGTGGCCTTCACCGCTAGATGGTTCTTTCCTTCTGCTCTGCAGGACAGGAAGGGGCCTGCGATGCGAAGTCCTTCAGGGTTTTGCTCACTCACCAGCTGGAGTTCCACATGGCTCAAGGCTGAGATGTTGTGAGCAGGTCACTTAGCGCTCCGGCTTTGGATTCAGACAGACATTGGCTGGAATCCTGGCCAACAATTTTTTTTTTTAATCTCAGAGAATCTAGTAGGACAAGTTTCATTGAATATATGAAAATAGGTTGGGCGCAGTGGCTCATGCCTGTAATCCCAGCACTTTGGGAGACCGAGGCGGGCAGATCACTTGAGGTCAGGAGTTCAAGACCAGCCTGGCCAACATGGTGAAAGCCCATCTCTGCTAAAAATACAAAAATTAGCCGGGTGTGGTGGCGCATACCTGTAATCCCAGCTGCTCGAGAGGCTGAGGTACCAGAATCGCTGGAATCTGGGAAGCAGAGGTTGCCGTGAGCAGAGATCGGGCCACTGCACTCCAGCCTGGGAAGGAGACTCTGTCTCAAAAAAAAGAAAAAAAAAAAATTAGACGTGTCACTTAATGTCACCAGGTCTGCCTGAAATGGAGCTAAAGACGCCATTCCTGGGCTATTGTGACAAGCAAATGTGATAACACAGAGGAATGGGTCACAAAGTGGGGTCCCTGACCAGCAGCATCAGCTCCGCCTGGGATCTTGTCACAAGTGCAAATTCTCAGATTCTCCCGGAGTTGCCTAGTCAGGAACTCTGGGGTAGGGGCCAGCAGGCTTTGTATTTAACGCTGTCTCCAGGTGAGTCTGATGCATGCTGAAGCTGAGAACTCCCAGGACAGAGGCCCTGGTATATTATTTGGCACTCTAACTGGCAGCTATTATGACTTAATAAAAGCAGCTAATGCATATGGGATTTCCTATGCACCTGTAAGTCTGCTGTTTACAGGTATTATTATTATATCGCAGTTTTACAGGTAAAGAAACCAAGGCATGGAGAAGTTGAGTCAATTGCCAAGGTTATTCTCTTAGTGTGGGTTCCCTAGAAGCAAACTCTGAAACCAGGATTCACGTGCATCCAGTATATTTGGGATGTGATCCCAGGGAACACTAGTGGGGGCGCGGGAAGTGGGACAGGGAAGGGAAGGCAGCCAGTGAAGGGTGTGTTATCAAGCAGGTTACAAATGGGCAACCAGACTTCATCCGGCTGGAGGCTCAGTACCAGAGCAGAATACACATCTCAAAGGACCCGCTGGAAGTGGCAGGCCTGGGAGACATGGAAGGGACACGGCAGGGTCTACCATCGTCACACTGCTGGATGCCAGCGTGGGGACAGTCTGGCTCCGGGTTGGAGCTGTTTATGCTGAATTATGCAGACTCTCTCTGCAGGGTGCAGCAAATGTGCCTGGTGCTTGGGGAGCTCCCAGTAAGCGTGGAAGTTGTTGTTGGAGGGTGACTGAGCTCAGTCAGCTTCTCAGCATCCCTGTCACCACCTCACTGGGCCCTGCACCCGAAGTCAGAAGAGGAACTGCTCTCTGGACTGTAATAAGTGTGGCCAGAGCACAGTGGACCACCTGGCAGAATATAAAAGGAGATGAGGCAGGAGGAGCACTGGGGCCTGGGTTAGGGAGGGCCACGAGTGCCAGGCCTAGGAGTTTGGCTTTATTTTGATCATGACGAGAAGGTTCTGTGGAAGAGAACGGAGCCCAAGCTGTCCTTACTTTAGGAGACTGACTGGTAGCTCAGTCAAATAAAGACTGGAGGGCTGTGGGTTCATGTCGCTGTGGAAGGAAGTTCCTTCAGAAATCATTCAGGCCATTGCACTTGCTGTAGGATTTCTCAGCAAGGCTCGTGTGTCAGAAGGGAGGGAGGAATGAGGAGCTGATGCTTCAGCTCATTTGACACAGGCATGATTTCTGCAAACTCTCCGCAACACACCAAGAGACTGGGTCTCTGTGCAGGTTTTATCAGTGAAACTTCTTTGGACTAAAGTATACTTGACCGGCAGGAGTCAACGTTACTTGAGAGGAAGCCATGTAAAATGCACACGTTTTAAAAATAGACCTGTGTATTGCCACTTATTGGGCATGTGACCTTGGGCATAGTGGGCTCAGTTCCTCTCTTCATTGCCTTCATTCCACGCTTACTGATGAGCCACCAAATGACTCTTCACGTGTGCACCTCACTGTGCCCTGGAGGAGCTCGGTCTGGTGATAGAGTCAGATATGCACCCAAATTATTTCTACAAAGCACGACCGAGGTCTGCTAGAGGCACGTGCGAAGTGGGCTGTGGACTCAGTGAGAAGTGACCTTTATAACTGACCAGCAGCCTCCCAAAGCGCTAGGATTACAGGCGTGAGCCACCACGCCCAGCCGAGGCAGGCGGATCACCTGAGACTAGGAGTTTGAGACCAGCCTGGCCAACATGGTGAAACCCTGTCTCTACTAAAAATACAAAAATTAGCCAGGCGTGGTGGCACGTGCCTGTAATTCCAGCTACTTGGGAGGCTGAGGCAGGAGAATCGCTTGAACCCAGGAGGCAGAGGTTGCAGTGAGCCGAGATCGCGCCACTGCACTCCAGCCTGGGCGACAGAGCAAGACCCTGTCTCAAAAAATATATATAATAATAATAAAAATAAAAATAGAAGTGACCAGCAGAGGGGAGGGCTCAGCCCTGACTGCAGAGTGTATATGTCTCAGGGAACCAGTGAGCCCCCCTTTACTTTAAGTTACCCCTAATGACTTACAGAAGTGATGGAAGGGGCTCTAGTAAAAGCTAGAGAGATTGTGGCTAGATATAAGCAGGACTGATATCCAAATTTATATACCACTATGGTCTTATCAGTTGTTAAAATAATTATAATACTTCCAGGTTGGCTGGTAAATGGTTGCTGCCCTGGGCCGCTGGGGTGCCATCTACACTCTGGCTGCCTCCCCAGTGGCTCCCAGACCTCCCCCTTATCCAGCAAAGAGAGGGTTAATGTGATTCCAGTGCCAAATGGTGGCAATTCTGAATGGTCAGTGCCCTCCATAGGTTGTCAAGTATTGTGAATGTGTGCCAGGACCGAAGGAAGAATTTGCTCTCCTTTGAACAGCAAAACAACCAAGTCTGGGGAGGCTGTGCTCTCATGGTCATCAGAGAATGGGGGAAGGCAGGGTGCTGGCCTGCAATCCCTGTGGGCCCCTTCCTGTCGTGGGGCTCCATGGGCCAAGCACAGCCAGTCCGGCCTCACTGGTGGAGAGTAGCCTGCAGCCCAGCCCTCAGGACAGCTGCTGGGGCCTCAAACAAAGCGGGTGTCTCTTTGTGGCCCGGGCAGCCCGCCATCCTCCTGAAAGGGGATCCTGTAAGGCGCGGAAGCTGCAGGAGGCTCCATCAATCACTGAGCATTTCATTATACCTTGGACAACATCCATAATGGAATAAAATGTCTGTAAGTTTACTAGGGGAAAAATAGTAACTTCTCCATAGCCAGTTTGTTTTTTATTGATAGTAATTTCCAAAGACATTCCAATATCTTCAAAGCCGTCGTTACTAGCCTCACGGTATGTCCATTTTGATGTGCAAATGAACAGATGCAGAGTGACAGACAATAATGCAATGCCTCCATTTCAGCTGAAAGGAATAAATCCGCCTCAGAGTGGGTCCCAGTGTATCCCTCGGAAGTTCTTTCTTTCCTGAACATTCTCGCCTCTGTCGGGGAGTTAGAAAAGCTGTTCATTCTGCGTCCAGATAAAAGAGCTCGCCTCCTCTTTTATCCCCGTCGCACACTGAGACGGGGCCAGCCAGGCCCGGGCTCGCCCTCCACGCCGGTGAGCTCCATCAAATGGCCAGCTGGTCACAGGTGGGCCACTCCCTGTTTCCAGAAGAACCAGAGCCTGACTGCTTGAAACAATTTTTTTTCTCTCTTTTATTAACGTGTTAATTATTCAGCTAATATTTACTGATCCATCCATCACACGTCCCAGGTTAGAGTGTAGGATCAGAATAATAATGGCTGTTATTTATTTGGACATCTGTTATGTGCCAAGCATTGTATTGTATAGACATACATCTGTTATCTCATTTAATTTAATCTTCAAACAGCCTTATGATGTAAGTGCCGCTATCACTGTTTTAATGATGAAGAATTTGAGTTTCTGGGAAGAAAAGTAATTTAAATGTTTTCATTATTAATAACAATATATTAACAGTAAAAACAATCGCTGCTGAGTAATTACTGCATGCCAAGCCTTGTATTAGACATTTTACATGTGTTACCTTATGGAATTTTCACAACTACCTCATGGAATTGGAACCGTATCCCCATTTTATAGATGGGGAAGTTGAGGCTCAGAGAGAGGCAGCTGCACATCCCAGCTTGCACAGCCAGATAGTGGTGGAGCCTATTCCCAAAGGCTGTCTCCATCCACTTCCTCAGAAGCATGTACAGCCTGGGAAGCATGTACAGCCACGTGCAGTCTCAGTCTGGGAAGGTCTTGAGCCCAAGCACCTTGAAAACCTTGTGGTTAATTTCCCATCTACAATGATAAATGTTTAATAATCCTGAGCTTATGCTTTGGCTGTTTAATTGAAAGCTGAAATGGAACTTCTTTGCTGAGCAACCCATCAGAAATTTCTCAAATATTAGTTTTCTTTTACTAAGTAGGCAGGCAGAGGAGAAGGATCCATTCTCACTGACCCGGGTGAAAGCTCTGTGCAGTGGTCCGTGCTGGTGGCGGTGGACCTGAGACTTACAGAAGTAGAGAGATGCACGTGGGACTGGATGTCTGGGCAGTGGAGGGCAGTAGCATGTGCCTGTGGGCGTGGCCATGTGTGCTGATGGGCGTCCCCAGATGAAGGTGACCTCAAGAGGCTCAGAGCCTGGCTGGGAACCAGACCCTTTGGCAAACACTGGAGAAGGTGGCCGTTGTTCCCTCCTCAGCCCTGGGGTTCTGTGGTCCGAGGGTCTCCTGGGTCCCTTGGGTCTTGGTGTGGTGGGGAGTCCTGTCTCCTGCCATCTCGCTTGTTCTCCTCTGCTTTGCCTTAACCTGGGGCCCTGGATATTGCACCTTGGTGCAGTCAGTAAGACCGTCCTGACTTCATATATATATATATATATATATATACTTATGTACTTCATGCATTACTGCTAGTCCCCATGGATAATAAATAGTACTATAATTGTTCATTCATATATATATATTCAGACAGAGTCTTGCTCTGTCACCCAGGCTGGAGTGCAGTGGCATGATCCCAGCTCACTGCAACCTCCACCTCCTAGGTTCAAGTGATTCTCCTGCCTCAGCCTCTGGAGTAGCTGGGATTACAGGTGTGTGCTACCACATCCAGCTAATTTTTGGTATGTATATATTTTTTGTATTTTTAGTAGAGACGGGGTTTCACCATGTTGACCAGGCTGGTCTCGAACTCCTGATCTCAAGTGATCCACCCGCCCCGGCCTCCCAAAGTGCTGGCATTATAGGTGTGAGCCACAGCACCTGGCCCCCTTCTTTGTATTTAGGCTCTCTGCTAAGTACAAAGAAAAGTCACTCCCCGATTCAGGCCCAGAAGTGGATGGTTGGCAGACTTCCTCCCCTAGGCCACTCAGCAGTGGCCCCACTCCCCCAGCCGCTGCCCTGGACCAGGCTCTTGGCAGGAACAGAGACAGTCTCCCTTGCCCTCACGGAGCATCCAGGCCTGTGGACCATCAGGACTTTTCTCCTCACTAAAAAGCCGCTTGGGAGCCACTGGCAGGCTGCTGGGAGGTCCTGGGCATGTTACTTCCCAGAGACAGCCTAATTTCTCTGGAGGCAGTGGTGCGCTCCCCAGGTGACATGAATGAGCGGAACGCGGCCCTTCCTGGGGAGACGTGCAGCGTGTTTATCACAGGTGCCCGATCCAGATCTCGGCGCAGCTATTGTGGGTGTGCGTTCACGGCTTGGGGACTGTGTGACGGCGTGTTTGCAAATTCCCATGCCGCTCCTTCAAAACACTGGTGCGCGTGACATTTACATGCCTACCCGCGTTTGCATCAGGACTGCCATCTCCCAACTTCTCTGTGCATCTCTGGGAGATGTCTCCCTCCCTCGGGGTGGCAGGGCAGGGCTGTGACAGACTCTCACTGGCGCGTGCACGGCTGGCTTCTCACTGCAGCATGAGTGTCCCCAGTATCCCCTTCCAGGGATGTGTGCAGGTGACCAGCCTGGAGAGGCCTCTGCGGTCACTTGGCCCTGTTGTTTCCCACACAGGACACTTGCTCCCATTCTTAACAGACTCTGCGGACACACTCCAGAGATGGGGTCTTACTCCCTCTTGGGACGACAGACTTTATCTTGAAATAGCTTTCCCCGTTTGAAAGATCTTCCTTAAATTTGCTAAAATCAAACTTGCCCTAACTGATTTCTTCTCTCTGGCCCCCAAGGAGGCAACGACCCTGTCTCTCAGGGCATTTGCCAAGGTAGAGAGGCCTCTCTGAGCCCAGGGAGGGCAGGGCTAGAGAGGAGGGGTAGAGTCCATGAGAGGTAATCCAGCCTTCCCAACTTCTGAGTTGGGGTAGTGGAAGAAAGCAGTGGTCAGGCCGACGCCTGGCTCCTGGCAGAGCCGTCAGGGTGGACAGTGGGCCATTAAAAAAGAGAAAATGGGCAGGAAACAAACAAGTGGGAGGTGTCAGATGCTCACTTTGCTCAGCACTGAGTGGGAGGGAGGTAGCCTGCAGCACTCATCTCCCGGGTTTCTCTGAGAGTGGCCTTGGCCAGGAAGGCAGAGGTTCCCCTGGCTTTTCCTAAGGGTGGGCCCATGATTCCTGGGCCTCTGGTATTAGCCATGCTTCCCTTTCTGCAGGCACCTACATTGGATGCTTCAGTGACGATGGCCACGAGAGGACTCTGAAAGGAGCTGTGTTTTATGACTTGAGAAAGATGACTGTCTCCCACTGCCAGGATGCGTGTGCTGAGCGGTGAGTGCTGGGGCCCTGGACTGTTGATTCTAGAGGCAGGAAGGTCCAGGGACAGTTCCAGAATGAGGAGGCATATCAGCTACCAGTTGGCTGTCATAGCATAATTGGAACTCACTGCTCAGATCCCAGTTTTCCAGAAGAAAGGAAGTTTGTTGGCAGATGACCTGGGTGCCGGGAGCTGGGTGCTGGGTGATGGCCTGGGTGCTGAGAGCTGGGTGACCGCCTGGGTGCTGGGAGTTGGGTGATGACCTGGGTGCTGGGAGCTTGGGTGCTGGTGCTGGGTGCAGGGAGATGCGACTTCCAGTCCAGCCATAGCAGGGACTCAGCGTGTGACTTTGATGAGTTCTTTTCCTTCTCTGGGCCTCAGTTTACTTATATATTTTACAATAAGATAAAGGGCTTTAACTGAGATTTCTCTGAGAGGATCTTTCCAGCTCTGGTAGGAAAAGTATTTTCACCTTGTGTCTATAACAAGGTTTACTTTTTCTGATACTTCCAGCTCACCCAGTAGTTGCCAGACACTTGTCATGTGCCAGGGAAATGGTTCCTAATGTCAAGGCCCTCACAACTGACTGTGTGTCTGTGTGTGCTGCACACACACACACACACACATCTGAGAGAGGTGGGTTAAACAGAATCAGACTTCCCTCTTCACTTATTTCTCCCACAGATTTTTTTCACCTTTTTTTTTTTTTTGAGACGGAGTCTCGCTCTGTTGCCCAGGCTGGAGTGCAGTGGCGCGATCTCCACTCACTGCAAGCTCCACCTCCTGGGTTCACGCCATTCGCCTGCCTCAGCCTCCCGAGTAGCTGGGACTACAGGCGCCCACCACCACGCCCGGCTAATTTTTTGTATTTTTAGTAGAGATGGGGTTTCACTGTGTTAGCCAGGATGGTCTCAATCTCCTGACCTCATGATCTGCCCGCCTCAGCCTCCCAAAGTACTGGGATTACAGGCGTGAGCCACCACACCCGGCCTCACCTTTGTTATGTCACATAAATTCTTTCCATAGTCAGCCAGGTAGCAATTAGTTATCCCCATTTTACAGATGGAGAAACTGACGCTGGAGAAAGAAAAGACAAGGTCCTTACATAAACATACGTTATGGTCTAGATACGGTGGAAACAGGATGATACATTCTCTTTTTAGTCTCCTAATAGATCAGGAAACTGAGACTCAGAGATGGTAAGTCATGTTCAGGGTCTCACCGCCAGGACGTGGTCAAATGGGGACTTGAAGCTTGTGTTTGGATTTTCAGTCTGGGCTTTTCACATCTAAATCCACTGATTTGAAAGTGTTGACTGCTTTCTGTAGCTGAAGTCCTGTGTGATTCATTGAGGGTTCTGTTTCCAACCTTTCTTTACCTACGGTATTACTAGGTCAAAGTAAGTAGAGAAATGGCTGTGGAGATGGGGGCTGTGCAGTAGGGCCCATGTGTAACAAGATGTGACACGTGGCAGGCACTTCAGACCAGCTCACGGCCGCTCACCATGGGAAGCTGTTAAATGTTTAGAGTTGTTGTGAGCCCGTTCTAAAACCATTGGGAGCTTAAAATCTCCTATAGTGGGAGTGTTTACATCACAGAAATTGGCAAACAGTACAAACCAGAGCTCTCCCTGTCGCATACTGAGAACCAGCTTACAGGCACATCACAGATTTAGACCCATTATAACCTGTAACCACGGCACTCTGCAGGGCAGAGCTCAGGGCTGGCAAGAGGGACCAACGGGGCTGGTTCCATTCGTTTATCACAAAGGAAAGACTGTTGCCTGAACTTAGCCTGGTGGCCCTTGAGTCTGGCTAGAGACTGATTCCTAAGGCCAGCCATAGGCCGATGGCTGTGGCCCCTGTCTGTTCACCTAGACCCAAACTCAGCTTCAAGTCCAGTCCGTTTCCTGACTCCAGACTCAGTTGCCATTGCATGACCCACATAAATCCTCTCCACAGTCTGCCAGGTAGCAAGGAGTTATCCCTCTTATACAGATGGAGAATCTGAGGCTGGAGAAAGAAAAGACAAGGTCCTTACGGCACATGTATACATATGTAACTAACCTGCACGTTGTGCACATGTACCCTAAAACTTAAAGTATAATTAAAACAAAAAACAAAAAAAAAACATACTTTCTAATCTACATCAAGCTGAAACAGTCTGCAGTTTAGACCGCAGCCCTAGCTCTGGGCCAAGGTCCGGACTCACCCAGGCCTCCTCCCTGCAGGTCCTATGTCTACGCCGGCTTGGAGGCCGGGGCGGAGTGTTACTGCGGGAACCGGCTGCCAGCGGTGAGCGTGGGGCTGGAAGAGTGTAACCATGAGTGCAAAGGCGAGAAGGGCTCTGTGTGCGGGGCTGTGGACCGGCTCTCCGTGTACCGTGTGGACGAGCTGCAGCCGGGCTCCAGGAAGCGTGAGTGTGCCAGCCTCTTCCTGAGCTTTGTCCGTCTGTCCCACCCGCTCTGGCTGCCCATCCCCCACAACCTCTCAATGAAACTACCTGGGGCAGAACCTGTGCCAACCTCTGCCCTCCCTTCCCTATTGCCATCACTGGACAGGCTCCTGGCAGGGCAGGGATGGGGTTAGGATCCATCGAAGGCTTAACTGCTTGAGTTCATGACTGAAGCATACCTTTGCCTGTCCCCTGCAGGAGAGAGAAACTGATTAGGGGGCCTGGGTATGCCTCAGACATGCTGTGTGGCCTCCGGCAGCTCACTGCCCCTCTCTGAGCTACGGTCTATTTTGTAAATTGCAGAGGGAGACCTAGATTTCTTTCTTTTTTTTAATTTTTATATTTGATTTTTTATTTTTGAGACAGAGTCTCACTCTGTCACCCAGGCCAGGCTAGAATGCAATGGCCCAATCTCGGCTCACTGCAACCCCCACCTCTCCGGTTCAAACAATTCTCCTGCCTCAGCCTCCCGAGGAGCTAGGATTACAGGCACCTGCCACCACACCCGGCTAATGTTTTTTGTATTTTTAGTAGAGACGGGGTTTCACCACATTGGCCAGGCTGGTCTTGAATTACTGACCTCAGGTGATCTGCCTGTCTCGGCCTCCCAGAGTGCTGGGATTACAGGCGTGAGCCACGCACCCATCCAGGAGACCTAGATTTCTAGCAGTGGTGTGAGCTAGATAATCAGAAAATTCCCTAACTATAAAGCACCTAGAAATGCTGCATAAAATTTAGCAAACATTATTGTAAATGCATAGCTGAACTAGCAGAAAAGTAAGGCAATCCCTTGGATCCAAAAATGAAGAAAGAACAAAGACCCACAGTGGAGAGAGTTAGAGATAGGCTGTGTGGCCGTGGGGCTCAGCGGAGGGAAGTCGCCAGGCTGCATGGCCACTCTGTTTGGGTCTTAATGTCCAAGCAGGATAGGGAAGGAGGCCTTGGGCTTCTCAGGGTAAGGAATTGGACCCTGAAGGGGCCCAGCTCAAAGGAGGAATGGGAAACTCAGGTTTGTCCTCACTGCAAGATGATGAGCACAAATCCGCTTCCTCTAATCACAGAAGGCTCCTTTGTAAAATAATAGGGCTGTGCACTGTTGCACATGCTGGGGGCCATTCTTTTCATGGCTGGGAGAGGCAGATTGGGAAGGAGTCAGAGCCTGGGAGACCACCCCCACCACTGGCAAGGGTAGGACAGTGGTGATGGAGGCAGAGGCACAGCCCAGGGTCCAGGCTCACCGCCTCTGGTCATGCCCTAGTAACAGGGCTCCAGGAGAGCTGACGGATTAGTTCAAGAATGGGGCAGAGCCCAGGTAAAGAGGTATTGGAACAGCCGGGCGCGGTGGCTCACGCCTGTAATCCCAGCACTTTGGGAGGCCAAGGCGGGCGAATCATGAGGTCAGGAGTTCGAGACCAGCCTGACCAACATGGTGAAAACCCGTCTCTACTAAAAATACAAAATTTGCCGGATGTGGTGGCAGGTGCCTGTAATCCTAGCTACTCAGGAGGCTGAGGCAGGAGAATCGCTTGAACCCGGGAGGCGGAGGTTGCAGTGAGCCAAAATCATGCCATTGTACTCCAGCCTGGGCGACAGAGTGAGACTCTGTCTCCAAAAAAAAAAAAAAAAAAAAGGTATTGGATCAAAAGCTAAGGCTTCACAGGGGTTCTGGGGAGGGCTGTCGAGTGAGTTTTCCAAGCAGCACAGAAGCCGAGCCCTGAGAACCGTGGGTGAACCTAAAGGCCACCCTGGCTGGCAACTGTCTGTGGGGTCACAGTGCCCAGAAGAGCTGCTCCGTGTTTGACCCCAGCTGACCGGGGCTTCTTAGATGCCTCTTGCATTCAGACAGGATGTGTCTGGGAGCTCAGGGGTCCAGATGGGGCAATGGGGACAGGGGCGGAGAAACTGACCACACATCGTTTAGCTGACAGGTTCACTAGTGACACCATGAACTTGGCAGTGTCTCACCGACACCTACTCTGCCAGGCCCTGACCTCATAGAGGGGTTTGCCATGGCACGTGGGCACAGTCCTATCCTGTCACCTGGACATGCAAACGGGCTTCCTGAGGACCAAACTGCTCCACGCTGGCTTCTTGGAGCTTTTATTTCTTTGGTTTCAAACAACATTCCTGCCCCCAAGTAAGACCAATTCTATATATGGACTCCCGGCGGCCCTCCCAGCCCCATCTGCCTGCTCAGTAATTGATTCTGAAAGGCAGTTGTTTTGCTTTAGGTTGCCCATGGATTAAGAGACAGATGGTCCAATCATTCAAGCCAGCCCTAGATCCGGAGTTGGCTGGACTTGCTGTCATGGTTAGTGTTGAAGATGGTGTCCTAGCTGCCTCTTTGGGCAGGCTGTGGAGCCCCCCGTGAGGTACCTTTGCCTTCCTGCCCCCTTCCTGAGGGAATGAGCTGACAGGATCTCTCTCAAGAGGTGACCAGGTGACCACCATTGTGAGCTGCAGCTTCTGCCAGCAAGGAGCATTCACAAGGAGTAAGACCCATGAATTTGCTCCCCAGGTTGGAATCGGAGTGGGTTCTGAGCAAGTCATCAACGTCTTCGCCTTGGAGGCGTCATTCTGCCAAGTGACCCTCAGGCTCCCACCTGGGGAATGAGGGAGACTGGACTGTACCAGGTGACAACCTGTGTCCTGAGAGTCGCATCAGTGAAGTGCGGAGGCAGCCAACACTTCCTTCTTTAGCGGCTCATGGACCACTCACCTGTTGCAGTATATGCAGTGCCTTCCTGCTTTATCTCATTCAGTTCATTCGTTCGCTCACCACGTAGTGGGCACCTGCTGTGTGTCAGGATCAGGGCTTGGTGTGGGGAACACAGGGGTCACCCAGGATGTAGCTTCCCCCCAGGAGCTGTGTTCTGGAGGCCTCATGGCCCCCTTTTGTCCCTCCCTGTGGCCCAGGGCTTGCTGAAATCTTGATCCCTCCCCCATCTCTGGATTGTGCCTACCCTGATGACTCTCCCCATTGTCTGTTCTATCCCCGTGGAGCTGGTTGAGGACCAGTGCCCAGTCCATTGAAATGTTTGTTCTTTGGGGCATCAATCATGCCAAAGAACAGGAAAGAGTTTTGTGAGCCCAGCACCTGCCACCACCCTCGACCTTGACACCAAAAGCCAGGGCAGACACACGGTGGTGGGGAGACATGGCCCCATCAGGGGATGTGCGTGGGTATACATTGTTCCTCATGACAACCCTAGGAACTACGCTGTATGTAGGTGAGGAAATTGAGAGTCTGAGCCCGAGACATGGCAGAGTTGCAGAGCTGGTCACTGGCAGTGCAAGGACTTGAACCTAAGCACTTATAACCCTAAGCCCTGGTGTTTTCCCCACACTAGGCTGTTGTCTGTGCCCTAATAGGTCGTGCCCTGACACGTGCACCACAGGTGCTGTGGTCAGTTGAGATGGGCTTCCAGATCCAGGGTTTGGTCCTACTTGGCAGATTCTGGCTGGTAAAAGGGTTTCTGTTTGCACCACGTGGTGTGGCAGCTAGAGAGCCAGGGGAGATACTGAGCCCTGGGAGACCCCGTGTAGAGAAGAGCATGGGGTAATAATCAGGATGCCATCTAGAGAAACCCTGATGAGTCTGGAAGAAATACGAGCAGTTGGTGCAAGAACATTCCAGAAAGTTTGTTCAGCTCCAAGGAAGCCAGCTAGGGCACTGGACTTTTCCACCTGGAGGCTCTACAGAGCAGCAGGAGGCTTGGCAGGAGGCTTCTTTGTAACATGGGCTTGAGGAGTTCCTAGAAATTGAGTGGGAGTTCAAGATCAGAGAGAGGCAAACCTTGCAAAGAGGCAAAGCAGTGGTATGACTCCAACGGCACAGCAAGAACAAACATGGCTGGGTTTCAGATTTCCATGTCTGCTTTTCTTTTAATGCATCTTCCGGTAGGACATTGAATTTTTCACAATATCAGCCTCTCAGGTCACCTACCATGGGAGGAATCTGGCACCTAGTAAAAGCACCATCCAAATTTGTTGAAGGAAGGAAGAAAGAAGGAAGGAAGGAAGGAAAAGGAAGGAGAAGGAAGGGAGGAAGGAAGGAAGGAAGGAGAAGGAAGGAAGGAAGGTAGGCAGGCCGGCAGGAAGGCTGGCATTATGGAGAACTGGCAGAAGCAAGAGAGGGAAGGAAGGAAGGAAGGAAGGGAGAGGGAAGGAAGGAAGAAAGGGAGGGAGGGAAGGAGGGAGGGAGGGAATGGAGAACTGGCAGAAGCAAGAGAAGGAAGGAAGGAAGGGAGGAAGGGAGGGAGGAAGGGAGGAAGGAATGACTTATGGAGAACTGGCAGAAGCAAGAGCTGAGCGCTGCAGTTTCAGCCAAGTGGTCCCTTGTAGATGACCCTGGACGGTCAAGGTGCTGATGCCTGGTTTCTCTCAGAAGCTCAGCATGACTATGTCCCATGCAGGGCCGTTTTCCCTCCCTGATTTGAACTCGCCTCGTAAGTTTATTTATACCTGTCTCAGGACCTAAAGCCAGCATTTTCCCTGGTGACAGGCACCAACAACTGGACACCATCTCTTACCAGAAACCCCTCTCTTTTCCCCCAGGGCGGACCGCCACCTACCGCGGATGCTTCCGACTGCCAGAGAACATCACACATGCCTTCCCCAGCTCCCTGATACAGGCCAATGTGACCGTGGGGACTTGCTCGGGCTTTTGTTCCCAGAAAGTAAGACCAAGTGATCATTTCACAACCCTTTCCTTTAAGTGTGTGTGGTGGTCCTGAGAGAGGGGGGCACATGTGCTGGGCTGCGGGTGTCCCCTCTGGCAGTCCAGATGGGAGCAGAGGAAGGGGGCATGGATGGGAGGCAGGCACCAGGTACCACAGAGGGAGCCGGCAGGGAGCCCTTCGCCTCTGTCCACCATGTGAGGCTGGGTGGGGAATTGTCAGCAAGGCTTGTAAAGCCGAAAGGAGAGTGCCTTTCTGGATGCGAACTCTTGCCACAAGTGTCAGATGTTAAATTGACTTGGTTTGGAAGCCAGAAGATGCTGGCTCGGGACTTGGGGATAGCTGATGGATTTTCTGTTATTGGTGCTGACGGTGTTGGGCCGTGAATCTGATGACAGGGGCTGGAGCCACACTTGCATCTTTGGTTTAGCCTGGGCTGAGGAGTAGAGCGTGACCCCATGGAGGGGCAGGGCTAGGCACCAAAGGCCACTGACCCCGCATTGCATGGTAGCTCTGGGGTGGGGAAAGTTGGTCAAGGCCAGAGGTGGCTTGCAAAAAGCAGGGCCTGGAGTGTGTGAAGCAAGGCTGGGGGAGACCCAGCAGACTGTGTCCAAAGAACATTGAGATCTCGGGCTGGAGTCAGGCAGACTCCAGATTGGGGTGGATGCTGTGGCTCTAGAAATGGCCCTTGGTGGCAGTAGGCTTGGGGCTGGGGCTGTTTCACATGCGCTGGGATTGCTGTACCCTCAATGTGGCTTTGATACTTGGCAATGTAATAGAACAGGGCTAAGGTGAGAGGATGGCCTTGGCCAGGATGATGATGACGATTATGACAATCAACAGAAGCTGCCATTCGTTGATCGCTCATTCCATGCCAGGTACTGTTCCAAGCGCTTTATGGGTTAACTCATTTAATCCTCCTAACAACCCTACAGCTAGGTGCTGTGATTATCTGCATTTTCCAGGTGAGGAAACTGAGGCAGAGGGTTTGAGCCGTGTGCCTGAGGTCACACAGCCAGTAAGTGGTGGGGTCAGGGTTTGAACTCAGGTAGCTCCATAGTCTGCTGTGGGTTGAAGGGTGCAGGGGTGGACTTCAATGACAGCAGATGTGATCGGATCTGCAGGAGCAGCACAGCCATCCTCTGCTGCACCCCCCCACTCCCGCTCTCCCTGCTTCATGTGTTCCTCCGCACTCTGGGGACACCTCCCTTGGAGGGGGCTGGAGAACAAGGGGGCTGGACACCTCCCTTGGAGGGGGCTGGAGGGGGCTTTCATATGTGCTTTCTTCTTGTCCAAGTGCATCCTTTGAAGTGGCTCTCCTGCGTCACCAGCATTTCCGAAGCCACAGCCAAGGATGTCTTGGGCATCAGGGCACCCACGACACAATTAAATGAGCCAAAAAGGCAGTTTGTTGATTTGCGGACATCTGGCCTGGGGACCTCCTCATCCCTTCTCCTCCTCATGGGAGCAGAGCGATGGGTAGAGGCAGCAAGGATGCGCGCTCAGCTGCCGGCCCTGCTGGTGCTCTCAGGAGAATGAGCCACCCTCCTAGGGCTTCCCTCACACCTGCAGCTCAGAGCAGTTCCCTTGAGAGGCCCTCTGGTTGGAATCAAAGGAACTCTGTGGTCCAGACCAGGCTGGAGGCAGGCCTGCCTTGAGCAACCAGCTTGGATAGTCCTGCTGTGTGCTGGGCATGGCACTAGGAGCCTTCCTGCGGGGGGTTATCTGCTTTAATCCTCCCAGTAGCTCCCAATGGGGGATACTCAGATGCCTGCTTGCTGCGAGAGGCTGGGCAGGTGTGCAGAGCTGAGAGCCCTCAAACACAGGCACAGAGTGGCCGGCTTTGCAGCTCCTGCTCCTGATGCCACACACAGCCACACACTGGCACAGAGCGGCCGGCTTTGCAGCCCTTGCTCCTGACGCCACACACAGCCCGTGGTTTTACACA